>NC_000002.12:50796412-51099443 GCF_000001405.40 Homo sapiens | reverse complement strand
GTGTGATCTTATGTTTAACTTAATATGTATAAAGAGGGATACAGAAAAAATTGTAGAGATGTATAGATACAGGAGTTATGATACATAAATACATTGCCTGTTCTGTCTGCTGAGAGTGCTTAGAAGTAATGAAACCCTAGGAGCAACAAGCATATTGTTGTGTTTGGCTGAGACCATGGCTAGAGTCACCCCAAAAGTAGTGGCAGGGAAGCTCCCCCAAAAGACTGCCCCATACCATCCCAAGATGAGGCCAGTTGGAATTCCAAACAAAAAAACCACTAAATGCCAGGACAAGCAGTCCAAAGCACATCCTCAGGGAACTTCTATATACTGGGCTGTAGAATTCTTGAGACGGATAGTGAGAAAGATGTTCTCCCAGACATGGCCATCAGGAGAGGGTTGGGTTACAAAGTTTATATTAGGGTTTAAAGAATCTAACTAAGATCTGGGCTAGTTTCTACTTGTTTGATCTTTTAGTGTTTCAGGCATCAAACTAAACAACTTTACCAGAACCTTAGAATATTTCCTGTTATTTTCCAGGCCCAGACTTGGGTCCAAGTCTGCTGGGGAAAACATACATCTGGTTCAGTTACAGATCATTCAAGGCAGTCTACGTTTCTAGGTCAGGAAAAGAAGGAAATTGAGGGCAACTGAGGGACCCTACAATCCATATTTCTGATCAGATCCTACAATCTTACATGCCATATTTTCTGTGATGATCTGAGTCAGTAGGAAAGGGCAGGCTTGCCTGCAATGTCTTTTATTTTAACTTTATGAAGCACTGCAAACAAAACTCACATCAGCAGTAAATATAGGTGTATATTATAAAACCTATTATCACAATTTTTAACAAGCTTACTAGCAGAGTTTTCCACTAAGAACCCGATTTCAAAAACCATGATTTTATTATAGACCACCAAGAGTCATTCCCCCATGTGGTCAATTAACTGTAATTGTGTTTGTAAATGAAAGAGGGATTGCGTAAATTCAGCTTTTTTGTCTATAATATACATGCAACACTCAGTTTATACAAAGAAACAGAAGGCTCTCCCTTGCACAGCTATCACCATGGCTAAAGCCATTTGGCTCTGTAGAACCATTTTCCTTATGGTGGCTGTTTCAATACTGAAGGCCTCCAAACCATGCTCAGTGTCATGCAAAGCTCTGGAGACAAATCTGTGAAGGACTTCCACCTTCTGCATGATAATAGAGCCTCCCAGAGGCAAAAATATCGACATAAGTAATTCCACAAAGAAAAGACGGACCTACTCCACAAACTTTTTCAGATGGGCTCATTGAGGGAGACAGGAAGAGTGTCAGAGATTCTGGAGTGCAGGCATGAGAAGATGGGAGTCCACCATCCATGCCACCATGGGGAAAACCAAGGCTAGAAGTTAGTACCACAGAACCACTGAGTGTCCTTCAGGGTGATCCCATATATTCCTACCCTAAAAGACCAGTCTGTGGTGAACCAATCCTTGTCCTTAAGTATAACAGTGTGCTGGCATCAGGCAGTTGGAAGGAACCTTAGGTACCTGGTATTGTTTACCTGAATGTCTTTAGAGTGGTTATGTTTTTTTTCCAAGAGATATCCACAATGCAGGAGAGCATCTGTGCCACAGCAATGAGCCACACATAGCCCCTCCCTTCTAACATTTGCTGCCAGAATGTGGCACTTGTAGGGGTAGTTCTTGCTTTAGCAGTTGCTTTCCTGCAGAACATTTTCATGGATAAACGTACACTGGGTCCAGTGTTGCTCAATGTCACATCCCAGTCAACCAAGTTTGCATGCGTGATGTCAGAAGTACTCACTTCTATATGTTGTTTAGTTATCGATGTATGTAAAGAGATCGTCTCCTCTCTGTAGCTCAGTCCACCATGAGTACAATGGAGTACCTCCAAGGCTACTCAAGGGCATAAGATGCCATGAGCAGCAGCTAGATAGGCCTTTCAAAGGGACTCTGTGGACAGGCTAGGAAGACATTCTCCTTGGACATGCAAGTGCTGGTGGGGATGATATAATAGCAGAGGAGAAGGCAGCTCAAACTAACAGCACACAGACAAAAATTATTAGGAACACATAAAACGGCCTCTGGCCCCTCTTATAGTATGAGATCACCCCTGCCAAAATAGTCTCAGTCACCATCAGAATCTTCCTAGGAGAGCAATACCAGACCTTTTATCTCAGCATGGGAGAAGTTGTAGACTATGTAGTTATAGGGCTGAATGAAATCCACTGTATTAAGGGCACTGCGTGACCACCGTCAATGTC
This sequence comes from Homo sapiens, assembly GCF_000001405.40. Lineage (NCBI taxonomy): Eukaryota > Metazoa > Chordata > Mammalia > Primates > Hominidae > Homo > Homo sapiens. Next base: position 51,097,171 of record NC_000002.12, on the reverse strand, counting down.
TCCTTCGGTCCTTTATTGAAAAGGAAAGTTGGGGATCAGGCTTAAGGCAGTGGCAGCCTCCTGCCTTAGGGAAAGAAGGACACCAATCCAGCCCAAGAGCACTTATTTTTCCGGATCCCATCTCCCATCTCAGGGATTCCTGTCCACACACTGTGGGACAAGGTGAGTGCAAAATTAGGGTGTTCCAGGTGGAAATGAATTCTGGGCTTAAGGTAGTGTCTGATTTCCTCCATACCCACACGGCTTTTGTTGGTTTCTTTATATCTACCAGATGTTCATAAGGCATTTTTGTTCCCAGAATGGGACCTCATTAAAACCACATATAGCTTCCATTAAAACTATAGCCCAATTTCTCTATGAGGGAAGTTCTATCAAGAGTTTAATTTGCTCCTTTAAAGGCCATTTTTCCTCATCATAACTCCTACTCTCTGTGGGTTGTAGGGCAGATAAAATTGTCAGATGATGCCCTCCTATTGTGCCCAATTTGGGATTAGGAAGCTTGTGAACTATGTTTCTTGATGATTTTGGCAATAGTTCTTGGGATATCACACACTGGCTACAAGTGTTGCAGACCTCATATAGTCAGGATCTGATTTATTTTTTGACAGGTAAAAGCTTGGGAGAAGCTATTCATACTGTCTGTGCATGTGAGTGAATATCAGTATTTCTTACTCTTAGGCAGTGGGCCAGAAAAATTCATTTTCCATGTATCAATGACTCTTTCTTCTCTCTTTTTATTTGCAGTAATTCCTGGCACTTGCTAAGGACAGGCCTAGCAATAGATGGGGCAATTTTGTATTGCTTCCTCTGTTTCTTGTTTGGACAAGATGAGCTAGCCTGCAGGGACCAGCTTTGAAGCAGTATGCAGCTTCCTATGACCTTCCTTCTAATGTACGCTGTGTGTTAGCTGCATCATCTTTTTCAGAGATAAGTACTGAGCAGGCTATGGCCAGGATATCTGCTTTTATATTTCTACTAGGGGATGTTTGTTGGTGAGCTGCTATGTGGAAGATTGTTATGTCAGCCTTTGATTTTTGTAACTGGTCCCAAAATCTGTCCATAGCTCTGACTCCCACAACAATCTCTCATTTACAAATCATTGATCATTTGCCTTTGAATTATTGACAGTGTCAACCCTTTAATGACCATCAAGGAATCAGTACACAAAGTTGCTAGGTGTAGCTCCTTCATAATTACTAAACACGCAGCTCATATGATCAGCCCATTGGCTGTTAGGTCCCATTCCTGATTTCACACGTATGGTATCTGTGGCCAATTGAATAGCCACAAGAGTCCATTTGGGTGGTTGGCCTACACTGGAGCCATCCGTGTACCATGCATCCTCTGGTGTGTTACCATCTCATTTTATTCAATAGGGTTTCTCTGGAGGCAGTGTTGGGATGGATTTTAAATCTATGGTACAGCTGACCTTTAAACAATGTGGGTTTGAACTGCACAAGGCAACGTATATGTGGATTCTTTTCAATAAAAGTTTGAAAAGTTTCACTGACTGCCTGCCTCCCTTTCTACCTCCTCCACTTCTTCCTGTTCTGCCACCCCTGAGACAGCAAGAACAACCCCTCCTCTCCCTTTTCCTCCTTAGTTTACCCATGTGAAGATGACAAGAATGACGACATTTATGATGATCTACTTTCATTTAATAAATAGTAAATATATTTTCTCTTCCTTATAATTTTTAAATAATATTTTCTTTTCTCTAACTCACTTTATCGTGAGAATATAGTATACAATACAAATAACATATAAAGTATGTGTTAATTGACTGTTTATGTTATAAATAAGGCTTCCAGTCAACAGTAAGCTATTAGTAATTAAGTTTCTGGGGATTGAAGTTATACATGAATTTTTGACAGTCCAGAGGTGAGAGGGGCAGCATCTCTAACCCCTGTTTTGTTCAAAGGTGAACTGTATATTGTACAGGTCCCAACGGGGCCTCTAGTTTTATCAACAGAGGACTGGATATTAGGTATCTTCTCTGTTGGAAATATGTATGCCACTTAGCCAAAGTATTATTTTGCTAGAGGCTTGGTTTGCAAGAGGGCCTGCTAAACTGCAAGGAAACGTTTATCTAACACAGTATAGTACTGCTCAACACCTTTGAACAATTGTAACTAGAATCCAATGGGATTCATTGTTTATCCTCCCTTTGCCAGGGGGCCCAGTCCATTCCTTCTGCAGTCACATAAACATCCAATTTAAATGATCTCCTGGGGATGAAATGGTTTGTAGGGCTTGTGCTTGTGTCACTAAGGCTTTCTCACCTTTTGTGTCTCCTTATTTATCAGGCAGTATAATGGCCTGAAACATTAGGCCAAGTATAGAATTAAAGTCTTCCAAAATCCTAGCATACGTATAAAAATTTGAATTTTAAAATGTTCAAGGCCATAGGTATGTCTGTATTTGGTTGATCATGGCTGTAGCCAAAACCCAGGTCTTACTCTATCGACCACACCCAGGAATTTCATGGTGCCTTCGGTCCCTAGATATTGTGTGGGTTGCTGGCTCATCCTCTGGATTGTGGTTGCTCTAGGACGTTCTAGGTAGCCTTCTGCAAAAGACTTAAATCCATAAACTTTAGCAGAATATCATGCACGTAATGTTTCCAGTGAATGCTGGACTTGTCACCCAAAATGGCAAGGTCTCTTGCCCCTAAATCACAGCAAATCATGGGGATAGGTAAGTGTCCCTGGGGAGCACCTGAGCACCTGAGAGGACCAATGTTTGTCCTCCCAGGTAAAGGCAATCAGGTCCTGGGACTTTGGGTCTAAGAGTATGCTAAATAAAGTTTTGCTAAATCCAAGACAGTATCCCATGCACTGAACACTAGTCAGTCTGGCTACAAACTAGTCAGTCTTTCCAGGCTTTGAGCCACATTTGGGAGAGTAGTATGCATGGCTGGAGTCACCTTATTTAGTTGTCAGTCATCAACCGTCATTCTTCAGATGCTGTTGGGTTTTCACATGGGCCATATCTGGCTGTTGAATGGGCTCTGTGCAAGAGGCACAAGTCCCACCCTCTCTAGTTCCTGAATAATAGCTATTATATCTTAGTTCCCTCATGGGATATGATATTGTGAAGGCCCCACCAAAAGACCTAAGATAGGGACCAGTGTCCTTCCAACATGGTGGAACAGCCTTTAGGATCTCGTTGTGCATTCCAGCTGTGAAAGGGCATTATCAGGCCCCTGGAAAGCAAGGACGTAGATGGTCACCCTCACTGCCAACTCACACCACAAATTGATTGTCTTCCAAGATTCAGGATACCCAGGCATATCTTCCTCCAATGGTCAGCCTTCCCTATAGGCTAGTATGGTCCAGTCCATCAAGGAATGATTCTCTGCAATAGCAGGGAGATCACATAGGTGTTGCCTGATGCACGGATGTGCGGTAACATTGCTAACCTTTTTTCCTCATTTCCAGATAGAACCACCCCATCAGCACCACTATCCCATAATTTTACCAGCCAAGCAGCTAAAGACTGCTTTTGGGTTCTGCGGAAAAGGGGATAGACAGATCAATCAACTTCACTGGAGGATATCTGCACAAGGAATAAGTTTGATTGGCAGGTGGTGGGGGTCTTTGCATGCCTGCCTGGTAGCTTTGTTTCAATTTAGTCTGAGGGATCGAGCCCTCAAATGTGCCCCTTAGTCCTTCTTTTCTGAATCCATCATTTCTATCCAGTTCTCAGATTCACTTTCACTTTCTAATGGATTTTATTTTTTATTATTCCAGTAAGGGCTCTGGACAACGGCACGAACACACACATTTTCTCATCACAAAAAGTTAAGCATAGTAGCATGTCAGTGTGTGCAGCCAAGCCTTTCCTTCTTCCATTTTGCCCTCCATGTCTATAAATAACAGAGTGTAATGCATGTCCCTTTCTGGTTATAATTCCTCCTCTAACATGTACACCTTGTTTTTGGCCACCAGCCGAGCCTGAATAATCCAGATGGACTGCCACAGCAGAGGCCAGCCTATTCCTGCTGCTAAGAGCCAGGCTTCCTTGTTGGCCATGTGTAATTTCAAACCCTCCATTAGGCTACTCAAACCTGTTAGAACTTTTGGAGCAACTCCCAATGCAGCCCACAGTATCCAGCAGGTGGGAAAGAGGGTCCAACATAAACCCTTGCCGCTATCCCAGGATCTTTCTGGTTTATTCCTCTTTTCCCCATCCCATTTCTTTGGAATCCTGTATACTACTTTAATTGTTCTGTCCAGCAGACTTGTGGCTAGAGTCATCCCAAAAGTGGTGGCAGGGGAGCTCCTATAAGAGATTGCCTCAAACCATCCCAAGATGAGGCCAGTTGGAATCCCAAACAAAGAAGCACTAAACACCAGGGTAAGCAGTCCACAGCATTCATTAGGGGAACTTACATTAGGGGCTGCAGTGTCCTTGAGATGGACAGTGAGAAAGCAGATGTTCGGCCCAGGTATGTACATCAGGAGAGAGTAAGATTTGGGGGTTAATAAGATGTTTTAAAGAATTTGACTCAGGCCTGGGATCAGTTTCTAGGAACATGTTTGACCTTTCAATATTTCAGGCAACAACCTAAACAATTTTATCATTACCTCAGAATGTTCCTTGGTGCCTTCCAGGCCCCAACTTGGGTCCAGGCCTGCTGGAGAAAATATATCACTGGCCAGGTCACAGAGAGCTCAAGGCACCAGTCAGGACAAAGAAATGCAGTGCATGTGGGGGAGGATGGGGAGGTAACTGAGGGACCCTACATGTACCCAGCAACTTCTGAATACCATGCTCTAATAAACTTACCCAGGTGTCCTGGAGACATGGCTGAATCTAGGATGAGGGCAGGGAAAATAAAACATGAGTCAGGAACATCTTAAGAGTTTTGGAAAGAAAGGAAATAGTCAAAAACCAAAGGGATAGGCGGTGTCAAAGGGACATAGAAATCAATTTGAGAAAGCTACCACTAGTCAAAGCTGGAATGCAATGAAACTAATAATAGAGTATTATTATAAACCAAAGTAGAAAATAAGTACTTAAGAGTCCATACTGAGATAAATATTGAGTAAATTTTAAAACAGCAGAAATAAACAAAAGGAACCTGACGATGTTCATGGCGTGAAGGGATACATTTTGTATTTGTCTTCTTTCTGTCCCAGTGATATCTTTAGAGGACTTAAAAAATCAATACAAACTTTGAGAAATCAGTTAATATCTCAACACCATATTACAAAGTATACTTCACCACTTAATCATTTCTTAATCATGCTGCACCTTTTGCCTATAACGTTTTTTGCTAATCCCCTGTTCATTCACATCTAATCCATTTGTTATGGCTGATTCAAGTGTCATTTTTGTTCTCAAATCTCATGAAAGGTCAGTGTGGTGCAAAGGGAAAAAAAAGCACTTAATAAATTTTGCTGATTTGAGTTGTTCAAGCTCTGACTATATTTTCTTTTTTATTATAACTAATAGAACTAAACAATTTACCACATGTATATTTTAATTTTGTTAATTTCATCTCCCCAGCTAAACTGTGAAGTCTGTGAGAGTAGAGGATTTGTTGTATATTGATTTTGTACATCCAGTAATACCTAAAACAGTGCATAAACTATATATTCAAAAATGTTTTTGACTATTGGATTAAGACTTACTATCTCCAGGAAAGAAAACAATGAAGACAAAAACAACAAAGCTTCCTCTGCCACCATTTTAGTCCTTTCCCATTCAGAACCTGCCAATGCAGAAACCGCTAAGTACAGTAAAAGAGGAAGAAAGGAAAATAACACTATACATTTTCACCATTATGTTGGGAAAACAGAACCTCTGAATTCAATTTTTTCTATGTCAGAAAATATTAGAGCAAATATTTGGTGGGTTCTATGGTTACACAGATGATCTGAATTGTAATTAAGCAGTGCCAACAGTATATGAACTTTTCTATGGATGTTTCTTTCCTGGCAAACTGATGGATGACAGCATTCTGTGGCCCTCTCAGTCATTGCTTTTGAAAGGTAAAAAAGTTACTCTTTACTGCCGTTTAGTTGGCAGGCACTTGAGAAACTATCTTTTACTTTTCAGTGGATGACAATCCTAGAATAATGTAAGCGGATAAAGCATGTCCTCTGGGGGACATTTTTTTAAAGAAGTAATTGCCCTGAAAACATACATTTCTTGTGGGTTCTTTTTTGGCCATCAAAAACATACTTGTGGTAAACAAACAGAAACTGCATAACTCTCCTGGACTCGTTTATCTTTTATCATTCTTCTTAGAACACAGGGGTGTTGGTGAAACAGTGAACATAAGCAGGCGTGGGAAGAAGGACATTTGATTGTAAACACACATTAGCTACTAAAGAAGAATGAAGCTTTGTTGCTGATGCTACATAAATAAATAAATAACCTGGATGCAGCGTCTAATACCTCTAATACTAGCACCTTGGGAGGCCAAGGCGGGAGGCTCACTTGAGGCCAAAAGTTTGAAACCAGGCTGATCAACACAGTGAGATCCCATCTCTACAAAAAGAAAAGAAAACATAAATATCTAAATAAAGTAGAAAATAAAGCATACCAGGAATGATAATAGAACCACATCAGCACGACACAAACTTTGCTGAGTTACAAAGTGTTGTGAGTCTACACTACATCTTGCATCAGTCTGAGTCCAACACAGAAAATAAAATCACTATAAGTATTTTAAACAAGAGGAAATTATGCATGTAATTAATTGCACATATGGAAGAAAAGAGAAAAAGTCAACTAGGAGATGGTGAGCCAACCCAGAGATAAGCAAAACAAGATATGACCATTCTTGTGGCTGTTGGGACATAGGGAGAAAGGAGGTGTTAACAGACCTCAGATGCCAGGGTAATCTGGAGAAAAGTATCATCATAGTGAGAACCACTGAGGGATATTTCACCCCATATCCTCAGGCTCTCTCTTCCCCTCTCTCTTCAATCTCCTGTCAGTGTGTCCTAGTAGCAAGCCTACCTCAGAGCCAGTGGGCAAAAAGAAGCCTCAGAAATGTAGTTGAAGAGTCAATCCCTGCAGTGCAGAACAGAGCAGGGAAAATGTGGAGAATGGATCTGAAATCCAATGAACGACCTAACAGAACCCCTCTTTCTTAACATACTTTATGTAAGATGTGGGCAGGAATCCATGTTTCCCTGTCAATGGAGAATATCTTACTGAGAATAGATGATCCATTTTCAGGCATATTATAGAGGCATTTTATACTTGCAGCTATGAGGGTGAAAAATCTAAACCTAATATATCTTTGAACACTAAAAATCATGAAACAGAACATATAAGATAAAATGATGAGAAGAAAGTTCAAATATATTAATTTTTTATCAAATAGCAGGTAATTTCTTGAGAACCTGCTTTGTGGTTTTATATTATCTGTCTTGAGGCATTCCAAACAAGTACAACTAGAGATGACACCTGTTCTCAAAAAGCCTGAAGACTTCTTGTGGGGGTTAACACTAAAACGTGAGACAGTTAAGAAAAGAACAGTGCAAAGTTGTAGAAAATGACATGTTAAATTTCAGGGTGCAAGCATAAAGTATATTAGATTTTCTTAACTTAGCCACTCACTCCAAAATATTTCGGCTTTTAGGCATGCTTCCAACCAGGGTGCAACATAAATTAGTGATCAAGAAAAATGGCTTGGTGTGTGCTGTCTGAATTCAAATCCTGTCTCCACGAATTACTTGTCCTGAAATTTTGAAAAAAAAAGTATGTGACCTTCCTGTGCCTCTGTTTTCCCATTTATAAAATGGGAGTACAATTATAGTTACTATCTTACAGCATGGTCACAAAGAGAAAATTAGTTAATGCCTGAAAAGTACTTAGGTCAGCTTCTGCCACAGGGCAAGTGCTCGACGATATTAGCCATTTCTCATGAGCTGTTTGTAACATTTCAGTATAAAGGTAATGATATTTTGAGTTTAGTAGGGAGTAGTATTAGGAAAAAACTATTTACTTTGCTGTTTTCCCATGTTGTTGAATTTTATTTTTAATTGACTTTGGCTTTCAATGGATAGGAATATGCACATTTACACACACATAGAAACACACAAATGCATGTCCACACACAAGCACATATACATACCCACATATGTGACCTATGAGCCTGTAGGCAACAGAGAGTATGTATGTCTGCCTGGTATTACTGCTGTCCAAGTCCCTTGCTACATTTGATACCCTTCTTCTCTTATTGAAAGAAAGGGGGGAAATGTCAATAAATTATTCATTACATCAAGCTGACGATTGCTCAGCAAATAAGAAGGGCAATGGGACACTCTATAAGAAAAATTATTAAAACAATAAAATTTGTCACATATAACCTATTCACACTCTATTTTCCCAAGTAATATTTTTTTCACAAATTTATCTCTCTTGGCCAGTTTGGCATTTATAATATTAATCTACAAAGGAGTGCATTTTGTACAGTATTTTTGCCTAAGCATCATATTGATTTTTATAGTGGAAGTAGTGTTCCCAGATGTTAGCTGCTCTAATTGTTGACATTTAAGACATTTAAGCACATTGACTCAAAAGCGATTTGATATATATATAAGCAGAACATTGAAATAGTATTCTAGCTTTGAGGGGGAATCAAAGGAGGTTTTGGTCAATTTAAAAAACATATTGCTCAAAAAAGAGTCTTTGACAATACTTTAGATACTACAAGCGAATTTTTTTTTCAAATAATTCACATATTGCTCATTTTCTGTATGATATAAATTGTCAAGGTAGGGTGACATGGAGTTAAAGAGTTATTAATTCATGGGGTTATGAACACTATTTCCAGGCATGAGTATGTAATTATAATTATTTCTTGCCATTATAAAGGAAACAGACCATAGCCTTTGTCTCAAGCATCCTAAAGCCGTGGTAAACACAACTGCTAATAGCATTGCAACATGCCACATAATTACAAATAGAGACTGCCTTTTAAAAGCATTCTATTAAACTGTTGTGTGGTACCGCAATGAGAATCACTAACTACAGGACTTAAATGAAGTCTTTTGACTATTTGCCTTCCGAGGAATTTCACTAATATCCTACTGTTTTTCAAGCAATTAAAAATGCAATAAACATTTAAGGGCACTAGATTGGGAGCCCAGATTTGAAAAGAATATCGCTCTATATTCACTAAAGCTACTTAGTTTCTCTTAATTGAAAACTTCCTTGTATATGCACCTTCTGATTAATACTATTCACTTCAGACTGTCTTCTCATTGGCAGATAGAACTTTTGTTTCAGTACTTTTCTTGCTAAAATCCGAATCTTCCCTCTACTCTGGTTGACGAGAAGTGTTCATTAAAAAAACAAACAAACAAACAAAAAACAAAACTGTGCTGTACATAAACATTTCCTCAGAGGTGGAAATTTAAAATCCTAATTTTAGGTTTAGGTTTAAGTATCTCTCCTGCATGCATTGAAGAAAGAGGTGTTGATGTTTGCTTACAGATAAAGAAATAACAGCAAGTTACTGTGGCATAGTTTTCATCAGCTAACTCTTCACCCGCGAATAAATGTATGATAAAGTACATTAATTTGTGAAAAAGGACTTCTTAACAAAGAGATATTCAGATGGTGCTATGGTAATCTAAATGCTTCTAATGGAATTATGCAATGCTTCTCCAACTGATGTCAAGGTATTTCATCTCATCTTGCCTGCAAATAGGCTGGTATTATCTCAGACTATAATTATAAAAGTTACATAATTGATCAAAGAATTAATAAAGATAAAATTCCTATCATAACTCTCAAAACTGGTAAAAGAGAAACTTAGATTTCATGATTATCATTAAATGATACTGCAGGTCAAGTGCAATTCACTAAAATAGTTTCATTTCATCTTTACTTTTCTATTCAGTGATACACGCGACAGACATACACACTATCAAACAGGATGTTTCATATTGAAATGCTCTCACCATTTTTCTCATTCTCTTCTCCATAGAAATCTCTTTCTACCACCTCTGACATTCACGAATTAGAAGTAAACATGTGATTATAAGATTTATCAATAAATTGAGAGGTCAGAAGTGGTAAATCAAGACTTGTCTTAGGCAAATTTTCATGAGACTTGAAATGAGCCATTGGATCTGAAATTAGTTCCTCTATATTTGAATCAGCAAAGGAGGAAAGTTTGATAGAGCTTAGGTAGTGTTATGGATATGCTGGAAAAGAGGAAATAACAGGGAAAGAGTTCACCTTTTGTTCAAATCAATGAATGGCTTTGTTTATACATAAGTTGAGCTCAAAGATTCATAACTCGTTATTCAAGGCCATGAAGTGATTAGAATATGTCACTCCAAAATATGACATTGTAGTATAAAGATTATTTCGAGCTGAAGGCAATTGAGAATCAACAGGCCCAGGAAGAGTTCTCTGCCTTTCCCTTAACTGCCTAAAAGCAGAACATAAATTTCTGTTTGTAAAGGTGTCCCCTGTATATGGAAGAGGAAGGCACTCTTATTGCAGCAGGACGAGCCACAGACAAAACCCCTCAGACACTGAGTTGTAGAAGGAAGGGCTTTATTCAGCTGGGAGCATCGGCAGACTCACGTCTCCAAAACCCGAGCTCCCCGAGTGAGCAATTCCTGTCCCTTTTAAGGGCTTACAACTCTAAGGGGGTCCACGTGAAAGGGTCGTGATCGATTGAGCAAGCAGGGGGTACGTGACTGGGGGCTGCATGCACTGGTAATCAGAACGGAAAAGAACAGGACAGGGATTTTCACAATGCTTTTCCATACAATGTCTGGAATCTATAGATAACATAACCGGTTAGGTTAGGGGTTGATCTTAACCAGGCCCAGGGCGTGGCGCCAGGCTCTCTGCCTGCGGATTTTATTTCTGCCTTTTAGTTTTTACATCTTCTTTCTTTGGAGGCAGAAATTAGGCATAAGACAACATGAGCAGTGGTCTCCTCACTTATTCTTACTAGAGATGGAATAAACACAGATTAGCTTGCATAAACATACTCAGTATCCTTATCTTCCATTACTTCTCCCATATATTTCCTAGTCACTTTCCATGATTTATCATCACTTGAAGCCTAAATCCACTTTCCTTTGATAAAATGGTATAAAAGCCCCTAAGTCAAACCACCTGTGAGTCACTTCTTTCCTGTCAACTTCTGTACATGTAAAATATTAATACAAATTGTACGTCTTCATCTCTTGTTAATCTGTCCCCGGTCAGTACAGGCCCCCATGTAAAGAACCCAAGAGTAGTATCTTCAAATTCACAGCTCATAACTCACTGCCTCCAATCCACTGCTCCACTCAACACAGCCAATTTAATCACTGATTTCCTGCCATTTGTTGCCTGCTGTCTGGATAGCATGTAAATTCTAACTCCTCTAGATTTTTAACCAAGCTTTTTCCTTTGTCTGGCATGCCCTGAATCTGAATCTTTCAAATTTTAATTTAAGTCCAGGAGGCCTTCCCTACCTCCTCCATATAGAATGACTCAGTCCTCTGAATATCAAGAAGAGTTTTGGTCACTTTCACTCTTTTACACAAGGCATGTGTTCCCTTGTAGTATTATTTTTTCACATATGCTTCCTCATTGTATATTCCTGGAAACCAACAACCATGCTTTTCAGTTCTGTATGCCCAGTGATTGTAGAGAATCAAAAGCTCAGATGGTATTCAGTAAACATTTAGTAAGAGTAAATACTAGTTATTTGCCAAATGAGGCCCATTAGGTTAAAAACTGAATGGCCGTGACTTCAAAAAGTTGTTACTCAGAGACTTTTGGAAAAGACAGAGATTTTAGCATTATGATAGGCCTAAAATGTTACACTGATAGAGCAGAATATAGCATATTAGCTAAACTGATGGATGATGTGGGATTAGTTCGTAGGATAAAATATGTGCCTGATTTCCTTTAGCCATCTGTTGATAAAATTATAATGTATAAGAAGTTTGTAATATGGGAATCAACACCATGAAGTGCTCTGATGGATGCTTTTCATTCATTTATTCATATGTTTATTCATTTGAAAAATAAGCATTTATTGGGCACTATATCTGGGTCTGAGAGTACAAGGATATAATACAACCTCCCCCCTGCCCTTTTCTTTTCAAAAATGGGATTTGGCTAGTTGCTCAGGGTAGAGTACAGTGGCTCTTCACAGGTACAGTCAGAGCACTGCAGCCTCAAACTCCTAGCCTCCAGCAATCCTCCCACCTGAGCTTCCTGAGTACTTGTAACTACAGGCATTCACCACCATGCCGAACTCTGAGCTCTAGATCCTCCCTTTGAGGAATTCAGAGTCTGAGTCAGTCCGGAGCCATGATAAACTTTTATTTTTTGTGCACCAGTGCAAATATACTCAGGAATGATGTTGAGGTGGAGCTGCAGGGATATTATATATTTAAATAAAAAAATAAGAGAAAGCCCATTTAATTGGGACAAGGATTACGAAAATGCCATCATCAAATCCCAGAGAAAATCCTTCTCCAAAAGAAATGATTATAATGATTGCACAAGTTGGTACCAAAAGGAAAATCATTCACTTATTCAGGCTTATCAAATGGTTGTAAAGAACAAGGCAGTGTATCAGCTACTAGGTGGGAATGCATCAGGTTTCTGTCTGGATGGAATTAATATCCTAGTGTTAAATACATAAATAAATACACTATTATTTAATAACATTTAGGAAAAGTGCTATGCAATAAATGCATTGGTTATTATGAATTCATTTAAAATGAGGGTGTTTGTTGGGTAGGGAGTTGTACTTAAATTGAGGTCTGAAAGAAAAGAGTAGGGGTATGTGAAAGTTTGAAGATGTTAAACGCATTCCAACCCAAAGGAAGAGTTTGTGCCTAAGGAAGGAAGGAAATTGGCCTATTCTATGTTAACTGGATTCTGTCACTTATGCCAGTTCCATTTTCATTCTAGAGATCACCAGACGGGTAAGAAGTTTGCTGAAGCAAATCACTATGAGGTGTCTGTCTCAGGAGGCAATTCCAGGGAATAACGTTTTCGAAATGAATAAAAATAAAAGTTGAACATAGGCATTTGCTTTATTGCCTTAATTCACAACCTGGCTGAGTCACACTTGCTTTGGGAACCATAATTTTGAATTTCTGGACTTGAATGCATTTTAAAAATTCTCTTCACAAATGGAAGGTGGGAAAAAGAAATGTGTTAGATGTAAAAGCTAGACACACAAATAGCTGCTCAAGAGGGAGTATGACTTAGTGTCACTGAGGGAACTAAACTCAATTCTCAGAATCATGTTTAAAATATCAACTGTGACACAATGTTAGGCTAACCTAGAAGAAAAACTACTGGGTTCTGTCGCTGTCTGTAGCATATATTGGCCCAAAGCGTCCCTTTTTGCCACAGTTCTTTTTAAGACTTCATTCTTAGAGGCAGGGAAAATAACTAACTATAATTAGAAAACTGGAATAAATTTTAAAAACATATAAAGTAATTATACTCTATTTATAAAAAAAACCCTGTAAATTTAGACTAGCCTATGTGAAAAGTAAATTCATGGAGAGAAATCTTTCATAATGACATTTGACTTCACCTAAAGTTCATTCAGGTAATAAATCAACTTAGATTTATTTGAACAACAGTTTAGCTTATAATGTTAACATAATATTATTAATCATAATATTAACAGCCTGTAACAAATTGTCTAAAGATTTTTTTGGTGCCACATCTAATTAATATAATCACTAGTAATACTAGTAACATGTTTTGGGTTTTATTTGTATTCCATTAAAATATTTCATAATAAAATTGTAAACAGAATATGGTCATAAAATTATTAAGGCCTCCATTTCTCTGTAGTCATATAAAAATTACATTTATTTTTCCAAATTTAATTTAAAATAATAGAGTTACTTTCAAACTCATTTTGCTCAAATTCTGTGATACAGTAGTTTTATAACATTTGAAATATTTACACAGTTAAAAATCTATAAATGACATCAAGCTTTAATCAGAACATTGGGCTAAACATAGAATACCTTTATGGTCATTAAATAATGAAGTATTTTTACGATTAAAATTTTTTATACATTATTCAAAATTTAAATTTCAAATAGTAAAATTGTTTTACATATTATTTTATAAATCAAAATAGCAAAATGCCTCATTCATCTATTCTTTTGACTAATGTCTGTGAAGTACATACTCTGGATGTTGGGAATATAGACATGTAGTGATCTATTTCATGTCAACAAAGTTTTTAGATTTTAGTAAGGAGACAGGCAGGTCCACTTGAGAATGTGTAGATCATTGCCATGGTGACCTAATACAAAATCTATTGGCAGGGGCAAATGCACTCTACAATTCTTTGGCAGTTAGGGAAGGCGTTCTAATGTTGGAAGAAGTGTTTTAACTTTAAATTGAAGATGAGAATTAGCAAGAGTTTATCAAGTGGATTAAGAAAGAAAGGCCATACCATGCAGAGGGACTGGACCCTGAAAAATCAAGGAGGACTGACAGAACTCCATGTAAACTCAAGAGGCTCAATGTGTTGGAATGTGTAGGGGCTTTGAAGACATAAGGCGGGAAAGTTGGTACAGGAGAAAAGACAGGAATACACATGCTGAAGTTCATACCATGTGCTTTGGGTTCCTCCAGAAATAGTTCTTAAGCAAAAGATGGATGTGCAGTTAGTTTATTTTATAGGTAACCCAGAAAATACTTTCATGAGAGTGAGGAAGGAAAGTAGAAAATGAGGGGTATGTTATCAACCATGTTAATATTTGATCCCCTTAATCCTACTGAGGATTAAGGGAACTCAGTAGCCAGTGTAAAATACAGGTCTGTGAAAAGAAACATTCAAACAGGAAAATGGGGATGCAGTATTGTTGATACACCAACTTCCTTTGTTCATTGGTTGAGAGACAGTGTTAGTTCACTGGTATTTCCAACCTACCTCACAGGCAGCAAAGCAGGTTCTAAGGGATAAATAAAGCTTTCAGGCAAAGAAATGTAAGTACTGGGAATTGAAAGTTCATCCATGTTCGCTAAATCAATAAGGTCAAGGTGTAGCGCACCAACAGCTTCATGCAATTACACTTATATTTCAGTTTGTGGATCACATGGTGCTTATGAAAGGCATCATGTGGAAGAGGTTTACAGAAGCTTGCAGATGTCTAGCAGCCTGAGTTTGAGTCCTGACTCTCTCATTCATACATCTGTTCATTCTGTGTGAACTTGAGAAAGTTGCTTCACTTCTGTATGCCTTTACTTTAGTCATCTGGAAAATGGAGATAACTATCTCATGGGGCTGAGGTTAACATAAATTGAATAAATTCACAAAGAACAGTGAGAATAGTGCAGCATATAGTAAATGCCCAGGAAATGAGAATTATTACTAACCAAGAGATTTTTAGAATGAGGAGCCATAGTCATATTTTATGTTCAAAAGATCACACTAAGGGTACAGTGTAGAAAATGGTGATGCTAGAGGGCAGAATTTAGGCAATTCCATTGTGAGGGAGAGAAAAAGAATAAACTAACAGGCTGTTTTAAGAAACCCATTTGATTGGTTGGAGGGAGGGTTTTTGGCAAGAGATTGGAGGTAACAGGTTTGGAGGAAGGAACAGATTTGGAGGAAGTTGATGAGTACATATATAAATAAAGTTGATTATGCCACTTCAGAAAAATATCATAAAATATCTGTCTATATAGAAATCAAAGATATGTTAATAATTTAGGACATATGGATATTGTTCAAAACATTTTATGAGCAATGATATTCAAAGAGAAAAAAAAAATACTCCGTTTCCTCACTGAGGACCCAGGAGGTAAGTCCTTATTTCAAGTTACGGCATAAAAAAGCACATTACTTGAAAAAAAAGTGGTGTAAACTATGTAATGGCTAAAGGTATTACATGCCTTATTATATATACTTCAAATATTTTATTTCTGTAAAATTCTGAAATATCTTCTGACAATATACAGAAATCATTTCCAGTCTGTATTATATACAAAGCTCTCCAAATTCTTTATTTTCCCTCTCAGTTTTACTCAATACTAATCCTTTTTCCTCCCTTCCTCCTTCCCTCCCTCTCTCTCTCCCTCTCTTCTTCTCTCTCTCTTTCTTTCTTTCTCTTCTTTTGCTTGCTTAAATTTGTAGTTAATGAACTCAAGAGAACATCAGATATACAAATTACAAAGTTGGAATGCCATCTACATTTCTGAAAATTCTTTAGATTTGGGGTAAAGTTATGACAGCGTATTTTTTTTTTTTTACTGTCTTTCTTGGTTATGTTTTGTTTAATGTTATATATTCGGTAAAGGAGACACCGGAATAAAGAAAGAGCATGGTAGTAGAAACTTAGCCCATTGTTATTTTGTTGACAAGAGTATTTTTCTACTTAAAACAAGGGAGCTAAGCTGGATAATCTCTTTCATTTGCAAAAAAAGTTAAGGAGTCTAAAGGAGCTAATGAAAAAGGAAGAGACAAACTGGAATTTATACACTTTGGCTCCACCTTTTTTACTCACTTTATTATTCTTTTTTTATTTTTATTTTTTTCTGAGACCGAGTCTCGCTCTGTCACCCAGGCTGGAGTGCAGTGGTGCGATCTCGGCTCACTGCAAGCTCCCCCTCCCGGATTCACACCATTCTCCTGCCTCAGCCTCCCGAGTAGCTGGGACTACAGGTGCCCGCCACCACCCCTGGCTAATTTTTTGTATTTTTAGTAGAGACAGGGTTTCACCATGTTAGCCAGGATGGTCTTGATCTCCTGACTTCGTGATCTGCCCGCCTCAGCCCCCAAAGTGCTGGGATTACAGGCGTGAGCCACTGTGCCCAGCCTGTTATTCTTAAATAATTTTTCTCCTTGAATGTTCAATGATACATTTAAGGTGAACTAGGATTTAAACTAAAGCAACTTGTGGAAATAATGAATCAAAGACACGTCTTGTAAACAATGTCTTGTAATGATTCACAAGACATAGTCAAGCTTTATATCACAGTCAAAATCATTACGCTTATAGAATGACTGTTAAACTCTATTGTTTTCTTTGGCATTAATTTATCCATTGAAAACAAAAGTACTATTTGCCCTGTAAATAATACTGACACAGGGAAGACTGAATACCCTACTTAATATTTTTATGATGTTGATCTTTCTCACGGTCTTTGGAAGATGAACTTGAGGTTGGGAAGACTGAAAATAGGAAGAAACTTAAGATTTTAAAACATGCAAATAAGTTCAGTTTAATGTAGTTAAATTATCCCTGTTGAACTTTTGATGAATTGAACAACATAAGTAGAAAGGTGAGCCACCACGCCCAGCCACAAATATAAACTTTTAAAAATAAATTTCTGATCTTAACAATCTCAACAACTCTCTTCTAATAGCAGAGAAAAAAGTTAATCCAATTATCCAAATGAATGCACTAATGGCCTCCAATGTGCTCATTTTATACAATCCTTGTGGGAACGTATGTTTTATAAAAGTGTGTATCAGCGGGGCACAGTGGCTCACGCCTGTAAAACCAACAGTTTGGGAGGCCAAGGTGGGCAGATCAACTGAAGTCAGGAGTTCGAGACCTGCCTGGCCAACATGGCAAAACTCTTTCTCTACTAAAAATACAAAAACTAGCTGGGAGTGGTGGCGGGTGCCTGTAGTCCCAGCTACTCCAGACGCTGAGGCAGGAGAATTGCTTGAACCCAGGAGGTGGTATTTGCAGTGAGCAGAGATCATGCCACTGCATTCCAGCCTGGGTGACAAGAGCAAAACTCCATCTCACACACACACAAAGTGTGTATCCTTTTTTATAGGTTTTCATAACAGTTTTTTAGTATGCATTTCAATCTTAAGAAATTTGGAATAAAATATCTGGGAAATCCCTGAAACATTTGCAAGAGCCCTTATTTACATTTTCCCTTATATTCCATAATAGAATGTAGAAATGAATAGTCTGAGTAGAATAATTTTAATAAAAGTTAAAAGCTCTATCCACAAAACTTTTAGCTCTCCACCTAACACCAAATCTGCATTTATAGCACCATGCACATTGTTGTTTACCTCCAAATTTTATCTGAAAGTGTTCTTTCTCATTCTCAGGCTAATCCTTTCACCTCTGATCTGTCCCACCCCATTTTTTTTCCCATAAGACCACCATGGTAATTTTTCCTTCATTCCCTTGATTCTTCAACTCTCCCCATTTGCTTGTTTCTTCTCAGTTAACAAATAACTTCACGGTTGTGTTATCAGAAAGGGGTCCCGATCCAGACCCCAAGAGAGGGTTCTTGGATCTCACACAAGGAAGAATTCAGGGTGAGTCCACAGAGTAAAGTGAAAAAAAGTTTATTAAGAAAGTACAGGAGGCCGGGCGCTGTGGCTCACGCCTGTAATCCCAGCACTTTGGGAGGCCGAGGCGGGCAGATCACGAGGTCAAGAGATCGAGACCATTCTGGCCAACATGGTGAAACCCCGTCTCTACTAAAAATATACAAATTAGCTGGGCGTGGTGGTGCTTGCCTGTAGTCCCAGCTACTCGGGAGGCTGAGGCAGGAGAGTTGCTTGAACCCAGGAGGCAGAGGTTGCAGTGAGCCAAGATCGTGCCACTTGCACTCCAGCCTGGCGACAGACTAAGACTCCGTCTCAAAAAAAAAAAAAAAAAAAGAAAGTACAGGAATAAAAGAATGACTACTCCACAGACAGCGTAGCCCAAAGGGTTTCTGGTTGCCCACTTTTATGGTTATTTCTTCATTATATGCTAAACAAGGGGAGGATTATTCATACCTCTCCCTTTTAGACCATACAGGGCAACTTCCTGACATTCATACCTCTCCCTTTTAGACCATATAGGGCAGTTTTCTGGCATTTGTAAACTATCATGGCACTGATGGGAGTGTAGCAATGAGGAGGACCAGAGGTTACTCTTGGCAGCATCTTGGTTTTGGTAGGTTTTGGCTGGCTTCTTTACTGTAACCTGTTTTATCATCAAGGTTTTTATGACCTGTATCTTGTGCTGACCTCCTATCTCATTCTATGACTTAAAATGCCTAACCATCTGGCAATGCAGCCCAGAGGGTTTCAGTCTTATTTTACCTAGCTCCTATTCAAGATGGAGTTGCTGTGGTTCACATGCCTCTGACATTTGCCCTCCTAAAAGAATGACAGATGGCTCATGCCTGTAATCCCAGCACTATGGGAGGCTGAGACGGGCGGATCACAAGGTCAGGAGATCGAGACCATCCTGGCTAACATGGTGAAACCGGGTCTCTACTAAAAATACAAAAAAATTAGCCAGGCGTGGTGGCAGGCGCCTGTAGTCCCAGCTACTTGGGAGGCTGGGGCAGGAGAATGGCATGAACCTGGGAGGCGGAGCTTGCAGTGAGCCGAGATCGTACCACTGCACTCCAGCCTGGGCGACAGAGTGAGACTTTGTCTCCAAAAAAAAGAAAAAAAAGAAAAGAATGACAGAAACCCTTGTATAACTCCTTATCCTCACCTCGTTACTGTGTTGTGGCTTTGCTTCTTGTTACATCTAAATGCTTGAAAGTGTATTCTACATTGAGCTTTACCATTTGTTCTTGTAGTCACTGCTCAAATCATAGCTGTAGAGCTCTGTGCATATTACTATATAGAAAATCTTTTCTCATTAAGATCATAAGTAACATTCTAAGTTAGTTTTCTAGTAAATTCTTCATTTTGGTTGATTTGTTTTCAAACCCTCAAACTTGATCGTACTCTTCATTAACTTATTTCTCCTTTGGATATCTGTAGACCCATTAGTTTGTGAATCTCTTCTGACCTTTCTACCAGCTTTCATTGACACCTTCAAATGCTGTTCATCTCCCCTTTCAGAATGAGTTCTTCAGAGATTTATCCCCTGACTTCTCTGCTTATTCTCACATGTTCCCTGGAAGATGTCTTCTATAGTCACAGTTTCAAAACCTCCCTACAAATAACATCCCTATTCTTATCTCAAGACTTCATCTTTTTTTTCTGAGCTTAGACAAGTGTTATGGAACATGTTTCCTGGCATTTTTCACCAAACTGTACAATTAAAATATCTAGCATGTGCTTTATTAATGTCCCCACTGACTCTGTCTCCTTGTGTTTTCCCCATTTGGTTATTTGTACCCACAGCCTTCTAGTTGCCCAGAGCAGAAACCCGAGCATTATCTCCTCAACTCCTCCTTTCTCCTCAGTTCCCACATCCAACCTTGAGTCCTCAAATTCTATTGATTCTACACCAAAAAGTTTCTGTAATTAACCTTCTCTATTATTTTTCCACTACTATGGTTTTAGTTCTTGCCTGCTTAGACCATTGCAATAGACTCCTGGACGGTTTCCCTACCTCCAATTTCTCCACACTTTTCACTCTTCACACCAGTACTAGAGTTATCTTTAAAAACTTCCTGTCCCTTTCTGTCTGAATAGAAAAACATTTTTTGACCTGCTAGACTACAGAATGAAATACAGACTTTTAGCACAGCATTTAACACACATTATCATCTAGTTGCAAGTTACTTATTTGCTACAGGATGTATTGACTTGCTATGGACCCTATGGAACAGTCAGATAAAATCACCATGATTCATGAAAAAATGAATAAATGCTGGAGATGTGTTGTATAGCATGGTGAATATGTGTCATAATAAGGTATTGCATACTTGACAATTGCTAACAGAGTAGATCTTAAATGCTGTCACCCACACACACAAAAAAAGGAGTGTGAAAGGAAAATAAATCTTGGGGCCCCAAAATTACTAAAATCTAAGCTATGCTTTCTTAAAGCCCTGAGAACTGACGCTAGACATCTTAAACTTCAGAAGAAAATAATAGGAACCTATTTATATACATAAGCTATATAAAGCCACTTTTATACCTGCCTACTGATGTATGGACTTCAGAGTAATGTGGCCTGTACTGATTTTCCAGAGTTGTTCTTTCGTTTGTTGTTTTTCTCCCTTCTTCCCCCTATTTTCTCTCCATAGGATATGAGACTTCATAATCTGCTAAAAACGAGCATTCCTAATAACTTGGGACTTAAAAATGAGCACTCCTAATAACTTGGGACTTACCCATCTAGGAATAAACCATTCTAGCCATGAAAGATCAGATGAAACCTGAGACCAGACTCATTTTCTTCTAAAATGCTTTCTCCAAAAGATTTTTAAAAAAGAAAAGCGGAGTCGGTGGGGAAGGGGTGGAATGTGAAAGGAATATAAATCTTGGGTCCCCAGAATCACTAAGATAAAGGGAAAAGTCAAGCTGGGAGCTGCTTAGGGCAAACCCGCCTCCCATTCTATTCAAAGTTACCCCTCTGCTCACTGAGATAAATGCATATCTGATTGCCTGCTTTAGAGAGACTAATCAGAAACTCAAAAGAATGCAATCATTTGTCTCTTATCTACTTAAGACCTGGAAGCCCCCTTCCCACATCGAGTGGTCCTGCCTTTCCGGACTGAACCAATGTTCATCTTACATATATTGATTGATGTCTCCTTTCTCCCTAAAATATATAAAACCAAACTGTGCTCTGATTACCTTAAGCACATGTCGTCAGGACCTTGTGAGGCTGTGTCACAGGCACGCATCCTTAATCTTGGTAAAATAAACTTTCTAAATTAACTGAGACCTGTCTCAGATATTCGGGGCTCACATGAGCAACAGATATGTGAACTGTCTTCATTGTCATGATCACCTCAAAATACCATGCATACAATGTAAACACATACAATATTTATTTTTCAATTATGCCCCCAAAAAGCTGGAGGAAAATGATGAAATAAAAATATCACTTTCAGAGATACTGAAATGTGAAAATTAAAATTATTTAAATATGTTATTGTCTTTCCTCAAATGAGCCAACTAATTTCCCAATCTCACTATAGCCACATTCTTCACCTTCTGCTTGGTATGGTATTCTCTCTTATTTAGTTGGAGAACACCATTTAATTCTCAAGACCCAGTTCCAATGACATTTCCACTTTGAAGATTTGACTCTCCTTTTCCAACAGTTACACTCTGTGTAAATATGTCCTGGAAAGCTTGACTGCAACAACATTTATACTTCTTTTTGTTTACATATTCTGCCCTCTGATTATTAGATAGTTACCATCCAATTAGATTGCTATTATCATGTAGTTATATTTTTACCTAACTTGATAATTTAAATTATATAATTGGATATATACTCTATTAAACACTAATTCAATTAAGTTTAAATAATTTATTCTCTTATTTATTAAACAAATACTTATTTAGCTCTATATTAGCTCTCTGCTAGACACATAATTATACAAATCTAGAATTATTTGGCTGACTTAAGGTTGGATAGCATACTTCTTGTTAGTACTACAGATAGAACAACCGTGATATTGATTATACAAATCCAGATACTTTTGAGTATAAAAGAAGGTCCTATTTTTTAAGCATGCCATTTACATTCATAACTAGTAAACCAGGATATATGGCCACTGTCTTAGCTGTTTATTCCAGAAAAAAAGCTTTAGGCAAAGGTGATATGCTTTTACTTAGTAGATTATCCCAGGGAGGAAGAGTAAGAAGTGGGCTAAAGGAAGGGAAGGGCAAAAGAGACAACTAGAATGTACATTATCTAACTGGTTACTCAGAATTAAGTATGCCAGATTGCTCAGTTCCATGCGACCGTCTTCTAAAAGAGTGAATTTCTGGAACTTCAAATCTCCAAATCAATAGAGAAGCATCTGTACACAGATGAAAAAAGGTAAAGCAAGCATTATGCAAGACAATGTCAGGTTGTCTTGTGTAGAGTTAGTCATCTTGGTATTGGTTACCAAGTAATTGAGGCTGAAACAAGTTCCCTAAATCCCTAGGGATAAATGAGGCTAGAAGGATGTGATCTATACATAAGAAGCATCTGCGACAGTAAACCTAACTAAAAAGAGCAAAATGAGCAAAATGATCTTGATCTTTGAGTCTTAGATTTGTTTAACTGTCTCCAGTATGATCTTGCTCAAATTTCTGAAATATCAATGTATAATGAAAACTCATGTAATACCTGCATGTTTATATGATTGACATAATTGACTGTTAGGACTACCCTTTATACATATCAAAAGAGTACACATACTTGCATTAAAATATATATATCTCAGTGGAAAAATAATTGTTTTAAACTCTGTATTTTTCACAATACCTATAACCTAACAAAGACAGAAAAAAATTCCTGTAAAGAAATTTTCTAAAAACATTAAATGCAAATATTTAGTGTCAATTTTATAATGGAGATTAAAATTAAATCAATATAACTACTGTGTTGCTCAAAATATGTAGATATCTGAAAAAATTAATATCTATTGACCTATTTTATCACCCACAACTAAACCAATCAGCAGTGGGAATAAGCACCATCATAATTTGTGAGCCACAATCCAATATTAAAGCTGCAGTATTTCGGCTTAAGTTGAAAATTTGGATTGTTTGGGACAACCAAAGCCGCTTTTAAAAAGCTGTGATGATACTGTTGAATAGTGTATAGAACAACAACACTAATTTCTAATAAAAAAAGTTTCACATCCTAGGTTAAGTTGATTAAAATGAAAATAGCTGGGTACAGTGGCTCACACCTGTAATCCCAGTGCTTTGGGAGGCCAAGGCAAGACGAGTGTTTGAAGCCAGGAGTTCGAGACCAGCCTAAGCAACATAGTGAGACTCTATCTCTACAAAAAAAACAAAAACAAAAACAAAACACAATTGCCAGGCATGCTGGTGCATGTCTGTCATCCCAGCTTCATGAGTGGCTGAGGCAGAAGATCATTTGAGCCCAGGAGTTTGAGGCTGCAGTGAGCTATGATCACACCACAGCACTCCAGCCTGAGTGAAAGATTGAGATCCTATCTCTAAAAAATAAAAATAAAATGAAATGAAACAGCTTGCTACTTTGTTGTTGTTGTTAAAAAATGCATACCTGCTTTAATGACTCAATGTATTTTGATAGAGGGAACACTAGTATTTTATTGAAAAGAATAAGCTTATCAAGTATTAAGTGACAGACATTTACAAACACTAGTAAGGCAAAATCAACCAATATTTGTTCTAGCTCAGTTATTAACTAGCTGTGCAAACTTAAGTGAGTCTTTTTTCTGAGCTTCAGACTCCTGTTCATCAAATGGAAAGAAATAGTAAACATTTTTATAAACACTTACATATTTTAATTTTTTCTATAACTCTAGTACTTTCTAAATATGATACCCCCATTTGAAAAACAACATTGTTTTATATATAGAAATATAATTGTCCAATTCAATGACATACAGTGTCTGTCTTGTTTTCTGCTAGGCATTTAACCAAGTTATTTTTGTCGTGGTGTGAAGCTGAAGTGAGCGCAAATAACATCCCATGCGGAAGAACTTCCACAAGAAGAAATCCAAAGGTTCACTAGGCACAATCAATTTTCCAATCAATTAAACTTGAGGTATTGTGAGCTTTACCACATTTAATATATTTAATTCAATAGTTTAATTCCAGGATGTATGGCATAGTTTTAAATATAGTTATCATTCTAACATGGAAAGCACTAGATTGTCAATTATATCCAAGTTAACTTTGATCTCTAGGCCATGCATATTATTTTCTCTGAAAACAAGATGTGACTCATAATTTGAAAACATTTGACAATTTTCATTAGCATTTTTTTCTCATGTATGAATGTCTCTAATATCAGGATTTATCTCATAATTAATGGTTCTTAAATTCAATGAAATATGGGTAGACATCATTTGAAATAGGCTTTTGACACTGTTTTTACCACCAATAACTTTTTTTTGTAAAATATAATAATGTTTGTTCTTCTTTCACACTTTAAAAGATTTAGCTCACCAAATACATTAAATTTATGTAGTAATAATTAACATGTTTTCCTT
This sequence comes from Homo sapiens, assembly GCF_000001405.40. Classification (NCBI taxonomy): domain Eukaryota; kingdom Metazoa; phylum Chordata; class Mammalia; order Primates; family Hominidae; genus Homo; species Homo sapiens. The sequence continues at coordinate 51,072,319 of NC_000002.12, read as the reverse complement.
TAAGATAATCAAAAGATTGTAAGCCAATCAAATTTTTGGATTAGTATAAGATAGCCAGTGTTGCCATACTGAGTTGTACAATTTCTGCTGTCTTGGCATTTTGCTTGTTGTAGATAAATATATGATTTATATTCAGCTTCTCGAAATACTGAAAATAGCTCAAAGGCTGTCATTACTATTTCACGGACCCCTAGGAGACCAAAGGCACCGTGTTGGGAATCACTGAACTAGAAAAATACATATTTCTGAATTATAATAAGTTCTTGTGTGGTTTCACAAGTTAACAAACTCTATGCAGGCCTGTGACATAGAACTTTTTATTTTTATTTAAGTTGGATCCTTATACTAATAAGGAAATGTGAATACTCTGCAAATCATTTATATTTAGAATGCATTTTATACCATGTAGAATGTGTAGGAGTATAAAATTCTAAGGACTCATAGAACTTCAATAGAAATGGTTAAATTATATTGCAAAGATTAGATTGAAACTACATAATATTTTATCAGATGCTTATTTGAAAAGCTCATATTTGAAGTTTGTATTGCTCATGAGATAATAGGAAGTGAAAAAAGCCAACTAGCAACTATATACAGTACTTTTTTTTGTTGTTTTAAAGAAATATTTAATATACATGTATGTATATATGTGCATGTGCGTATACACATAGATTATGTCTACATATATACATATAAATAAACTATCACTGGAAGAAAATATAACAAAATAGCAACAGTAAGTGGTGGATTTATATACAAATGTTTAGTATTTTCTTCTTTTTTCTTAATATTTACATGATTATAGACAGGAAGCATATTTACTTTTATATTTAAAATATAATAAGCATTATTACAAGATTAAACTATAGGAAAAAAAAAGTGTTCATTCTGACTCCCCATCAGGAAGTGCTCACCACTTCCGCCTTGTCAAATGATATAACATACTTCCTCAAGGCAGAACTTACTTTTCTTGCTAAATGGCAAGTTCTTTCTCACGGGCAGAATGGTTTATAATATGGCTTGAAAGATATACTTTCTGGTTTCTATTAATGACCTCAAACTAATTTAGACATGAAGCATAGCTGATGATGTGAAATAGGATTTCACAGAAACATATGTTCCTTGAGCTAATAAAACATGGTTAATCCATCTCTATATATCCATGTTTGTTGTATGTCATGTGTATTCAATACTAATTCTTCACAAGTACTTGTAAAAATTTTGGTGGTTATGATATGCCATTTTAGATTTATGAACTTTACCTTACACTCTTTACATTTTAATTTTATGAAATACATTATATTTTTTATGAGGGTTTATAAACAATTTTACAACCTTTTAAAAATAAAAGTAGAAGCTGGAATTAATACCTAGGTGATGGGTTGATTGGTGCAGCAAACCATCATGGCACATGTTTACCTATGTAACAAACCTGCACAACCTGCACATGTACCCCTGAACTTTAAAAAAGTGGAAATAAAAAATGAAAATAACAATAAGAGAAGTTAACCATCTTGATTAGATCCACATAATTTAATTCTTCATGGACTATCATATAACTTATAAACTCACCAGCTCAATTACTTTATGAAATAACTATATAAACTCTCTCTAGGTAATTTAAGATATGATGTACCTGAAATTTGGCATGGAGTGGTGGTTAAGCACATGTGCCCTGGGGTTGGATCGGCTATGTCTGAATCCTGGACTCCACTCATTAGCTAGGTGGCATCCACTTAACCTCTCTGTACTTGTTTCTCCATTTATAAAATGGATGTCATAGAATTTACTGTGTGAGTTTTTATGCAAGTTAGTTATTAATAAAGCATTTAAAATGATGAGTAATACATAGTATCAATTAAATAATGTTCATTTGATTTATAACAATGGTGCCAGGGACGTTCAATATAGAGAATATGGCCTTTTCTATAAAAGGTGCTGTAGCAACTGGATATCAATGGGGAAAAATAATCTTGATCCTCTGTCTCACACCGTGCCGAAAAGGAAATTTGAGATGGGTTATATATCTAAATATAAAACGTAAAACTATGTAGCTTCTGGAAGAGAATAAAGGAGAAAATTGTTATGATCTTGCTGTAGATATAAATCTCTTAAACCGGATATAGTAGGTAAACCACGAAGAAAAACATTGATAAGACTTAACTGAAATTTATAACTTCTGGTCATCAAAAATACACACCACTAAGAAAATAAATCAGCATACAACAGATGGAATAAGATACTGATGTGATAAGATAAATGATGACAAGGGATTCCTGTCCAGAATATATGAATTTGTAAGAAAAAACGTACAGTGTAATTCAAAAAATGGACAAAACACTTGACCAAGTACTTCAGAAGAGAGATCAGCAAAGTGGTAAATAAGCACTTTGAAAAAATAAATTCAATATAAATTCAACCTTTACTCATCAGAAAACACAAAATAAAAATAACAGTGAGATTCCACTACAAGTCCACTAGTATGGCTAAAATTAGAAAGATTGAAAATACTAAATGTTGGTGAGGCTATGGAGCAACTAATACTTTCATATATTCCGGGATGGAGTGCGTGGCAGTCAGCAGAATGTGCCTCATAAACTTCTAACTACAGGAATCTTCATTAATAACAGTGCCTCAGCAAGCTCTGCTCCGAACTCCTTTGCTGCATTTTTCCTGAAACTATGCTTCCCATGGGCTGCTTCCAGCCAATGACTCCGTGTGGCAGAGGTCTAAGGCAGGCCTGTTCTTGGTGGACCAAGGACTCCTCTGATGGCCAACTTGGGCTGGAGGACTCTCTGATAGCCCTGCCAAAACATCTAGACTGCATGGCAGTCAAGGATTCCACCACCCAATGTCCCTTCTCCCTATCAATACTTCAGTAGGCATTCAGAATTACACAGCCCCTCACCAGCTCTTCAGCCTTCCCTAGTTTCTCCGCACAAGTGCTTTCCCTAATAAAATTTTTGTATATTATTTCCATTTTAATGTCTGCCTCTTAGAGGACCTGGACTAACATGAAGTATAAAATTGCATGCCGAGTTGGAAAAAAAATGTTTGAAACTAAACCCAACAGCCAGTGCTTCCATTATTACAAAGTATAAATCCAAAAGAAATGAATGTATATTTTCTTAAAAACAATAAAGAGTTTATAATAGTTATATTGACATAACCCCAATGTAGAAGCAATTCATTTGTTCTTTGTCAGGAGAATGAATAAACTGTGATAAATTTATAAAATGAAATACAATGTGACAACAACAAATAAAGTTCTGGCGCACTCAACAACATACCTGAGTCTCAAAGATATCTTGCTGAAAGAAATAAACCAAACACAAAAGAATATATACTGTGTGATTCCAGTTATATGAAGCTCAATAACAGACAAAACTAATATATAATGGCAAATTCATAAATGTTCTTTATCTGGTTGGTGGTTACACAGGTATATGCATGTAAAAATTATGCTAAAATTGTATAAAAATTATTGAATCAAACATTCAAGATTATGTCACTGTGTGTACTTTAAGTCTTTTATCTTTCAACTAAAACATCAAAATTAAAATAGTAATACACTTATTATTGCATATATACACACAAACTAGAACCTAGTTTTCCTGTTAGATCTGTTTCTATAAGTTGTTTGCCATTATAATAATTTTATTTTCTGAATTATTATTCATCTCTTAAAATTATCCTTCTTAATGTCCACTGAAATACACATGAAAAGGAAAGGAATGAATTTATGAAATACAGGTAAAGAAACTGCCCTGAGAAAAAGGTTTTGTGTAAGGAGTTTCTCCGGAGCCATTATGCCAAGCAGGAAAGCCCACGATTTGTTCTAGTAGGCAAATCCAGTAGAGATATTTTTGGCACAGCACTCATCTCTAGCTACAGGGAATTGCACCTCATTCAAGTATGAAGCTTCTGTATGACGTAAAATGACAGTCATTGAAGTAGTAGTGGAAATGCCATTCTGTCTTTCAGCTGCTATAATTGGGTAGCTGTATTTTGGGGGAGAAAATGTATTTAACTTCCTTCCTTATGGCTACCGTTAATTTCTTTTTCTTAACAGCTAGAGATGTTTCTGTGCTTGAAATGATTCTAGGATTTTTATTTTTTAACTAGACATAGGGTTTCTTTCTTTCTGTAGTACTCCTGCTGGAAAGAGGCTCTTAATTTTAAATAAGTATTTTATACAATATTTATACATGCCTTCTTATTAGTGTGAGCAATTTTTCTACTTAATACTGGCAAAATGTCAGGAGATGACAGTAAAAAGTCATTTCTATGAGTACACCTTCAGAGAAAAGATCATTGTGGTTATTAAATAAACTTGCCATAAAGAAGTCTCTTTTTATTTCGATATTGAATTTAAAATCTTGCACGGCAATGAGTTCTTATGAATTGTTTATAATTTATAAGTTTTCTTTGAAAAATGTGGGACTTGGAATGACTACGCAAAGATTCTCGATTTTCATCACACCTGTACCTCAACATACTGAGTAAATTTTAACAATTTCTATAAATGAAGCAATAGTGCCCAGGAGAATATGGCCTACCTATTCATGCCAAGTATGCTGCATTCCTCAGAGTCATAAGAAAAAGATATTTGGGATTGTAGGAAGCCTTAAGGCACTGGTTCTCAAAATGTACTCTTGACCTTTTTCTTAGTCACTTGAGTATACTACCTTAAAATTCAGGTTTCTGCTCTCCCCTTCTCACTACCTCCCCTGACCCCAACACGAGTAAAACTTATAGTCATAAAGCCTGGAAGTCCGCATTTTGAACTTGCTACGCAGGTGATTCTTAATTCCAATTTTTTGGGTGTTTTGTCTTTTTTAGCCAATGATGAGTGTGATGGTTACTCTCATAAAACTAATGGTCATTATGCCTACTAAAATCTTTCATCCTATCCCCACAAAATAAACTAGCACCCAAAAGGCAGAGAAAGCAAACAATGAAGACACAAAGTCTGGTATAATGTTTCTTATTCAGAATGCATTTTAAATAAACCCTGCCTATTTCTTAGCATTGTGCCACTCTAGTAAGCAGCTAGCTTTTGTACTCAGACAAGAACTTTGTTCTGCTTACATCATTTATTGATATCTATGAAGGGCTCAGAGATATTACAGAATTAGAAGTTAAATTTTGCATGCCTTTTGTATCTTATAATGAAAAACAATAATTTTTAAAATTATATAAATGAACAAAGGAACCACCATACTATTTCTTGTTCCTTTATTATTTATCTAAATATGTTAATGAATGCAAAGGATTTTTAAAAAATGTCTTCCTTGATCAGTATTTTTTTTAAAAGGACCAGGGAAATACAAGAGTCTGAAACTTTTAGCTTTTCTTTCCTGTAGATATAATTCAGTTTCATGCCGAAATCTTGAAATTCTTAACAAACTGAGGACACATTTTAAAATCCAATATGAATGTGATAAATTGAGGCAAACGTTTCATTGTGGAATGATATTTCCTTTAGAGTTTGAGGAGGGTACAAGTGGAGCTGCTAAATTTTACCAATTTAAGATGTGAGAGACTTGTCTGTTATAAAGATGCGAGTTCACCTTTCACAGGCAACTGGGGAGACAGCCAATTTCCTTCTACTTCCTGAATGAAGAGAACATAAGCTGGATAAGGGAACCCTTGTCTGGGATTCAAAATTCAGTGTCCTCACCCTTTTTAGGTGCTGACTTGATTATTTAATCTGAGCCATATTGGTTTTTATACTTTGACTAACTCAATGATAAAATGGAAATAATATAGCTGGCTTACCTTCTAACATTAAAATAGAAATTGCAGCTCTGATATGAGCAAAAACATCAAGACAGGGTAAACAGCCAGATCCGTTTGTTTGAATAATACTGACAACATAATGAATTCTTAGTATTTTATTATTTTAATTATTATTAAAAGACACATTGAGGAAAAAACACTATTGTCTCTCTTCTCTTCCTACTGTCCATGCAGAGGTAATAAATAATATCCTGGCTTCATCCACAGGAAATATTATATATTTTTCCTATGAATTTTTATGGAGGGTTCAATATTTACAACACAAGTTAATAAAACATGAAAATAACCTTTATACTTTTTAAAAGCATGCTTTGTGGAGTAAAGATTATGTTTCTGAGGAAGTCCACACCAGGGTGTTGATATGAGAAACCATGAGCTCATGGATATGAAAGTACTTGACATGTGTATAAATAGTGGCTCTAAAATATGTATATATAATATCATATATATTATGTGTATACATTCCTACAGGTAGTACATTATATTAAATACATTCATTTATAGAGTATTGCATATATACAAAATTATAAGGCTACATCTCTCTATCTACCCATAGATATAAGACAAATACTCCCTTCTTTGGGAATAAGGAAGTCTTGGAAAAGTCTGCCACTTGCTCTGGAATCACTCCTACATCTCTAACTTTTATCATCTATGTCCAGGCTGCCTCTGCTCTAGGACAACTCAGTGAAATTTATGAACAGTGCATAGTCTCAATTGTACTGCAATTATACTTCAAGTTGCATAAAAATCAGACTTTTCCGCAGAAAACCAAGTACATGAAGAAAACCTTGACCAGCCCTGTTTTTCTCCCTTCCCCACATCCCTATTTTTCAGAACTGTAAGAATCTGTTTTGTTTGACTCCAGCTCCCTCAGACAGATAAACCATCTACCTGGGAATCAAATAAGCATTCTTAACCATTTCTCAGTTTAGACATCCAGTTGGTAATGCCGTCTTAATTTACCTTCTCTTCTGACTTAAGGCCTGAAGGAAACGTAGAAGCAAGGTCATGAAATATGCACAGTGCAGCCCAAATAGAATTTTTGTGGTTAAATGATATTTGATACTATTTGCAAGGCTGGTAATTTTAGAGTAAATGCTGGAGGTCAACAAGCTCTTTTAAAGGAAGGGAATACTTGTTCCTATTCCATTGATTACAGAGATCTGTTCAATGGGAAAACAAAGCATTTCTAGTTGATTTGTCAGACATGAAAAAAATTTTGGTTTTAGAGCTAAAAATATAATTTTGGCATCAGATTGGTATAAGCCTGAGTCCTGGTTCTATCATTGACAGTTGAGTGGGCCCTGGGTAAGTGACGTAACCAGCCCCTTTAAATGCCAGCATCCTCCTCTGTAAAAAGGGAATAATCCATTCAAAATTTACTCAACCAATATGTACTCTGCTGAAGATCTGCCAAGCACATGGTGATAGTATCTACTTCATAATATTAGTGCAAGGACTCTAAGAGATGATTGAAAGTGAGTTTTTAGAAAATAGGGTTTGTTACCTAAAAAGGCACTCAATAGATGGTTACTAAAGATACTTTGTTGACAATTCTCTTCATTTAGGTAAATTTTCTTTCTTTTCTTTTTTTTTTTGGTGGAATCACATTCATTAAATACAAAGTTTCATACAGCCAATTCCCTAATACTGTAAAGTAAGTAGACTGATTGGAGTGAATTATTAAGGAAAAACCTGTCTATGGCTATCTGTGATGGAGGTAATGGTATGTTTTGTCATTATGTTGCAAGTGAGGTTGTCTTGTTATGTAGGCATCTTTCAGCCTCACCAAATGTAAAATCATGTTATTTCAGAAAGGAGTCAAGCAAACTGCATATTTTGCTTTTTCTTTTTGTTCTTTAGTTGGCTTTGTTTTGAGAGCTTTATTGTTTCTACTCCCTCTTTTGGGAATAAAAATCTTTTTTTAATTCATATTTTAAAAAAATTTCCTCTAAAAGACTAAGTTTACTTTCCAATAGCATGATACTACAAAAATAGAACATTTAACATGTATTTTATAAATTTATAAAAATATGGCATGCATCCTAATGTAAATCTATGCAAAAAATCTAAAAAAAATCTAGCATCCAGCCTCAAACAAATTTGTTCAAAAGTAACTAAAATACAGCTAGCAACATTAGTAAAATTATCCTCTTGATTTCCACACTAAAGGGGAATCACAATTTAAAAATCTGGTCCAAATGAAGATTTATTTTTGAATGCTGGCTGAAATGAGGTTTAGGGGCTCAACAAAGTTCTAGGGTTCTGAAAACATTTCAGAGGCTAAAGGACCCCTTAGCAGTGTACAGCAGTGAAGGACAAAAACAATCTGAATCTGCTTACATCAAACAATACTGAAAAATCTCTAAATTCTTTTACTTTGGGATTTCATTAGTCAAGTTATATTCTGATTTTTATAGTTAGAGATAAAGATAAAGAGCAGGTTTTAAACAGCTATAGACAAAGGCAACACAGAAGCAGAGGTAAACACATATGTATACAAACTATTTTTCTCACCAGATTGTAAACTTTTCTCTATATATATTCTGTATATTATGACCCTACACAGCTTCAGGACAAACATAGGTGCCCCAAAATAATAATAAAAATATTAAAGGTGACCAAGGGAGCAGAACCCTTCATTCTTATTCATCTGCTAAAAAGTTTACAGGCATCAAATTGTCCACATATTTTTAGAAGCATATGAAAATCAATTGGAAACTATTGAATACATGGATAAACAAATTTTAAATAATTTATTGAGGTGAAATTTGCATAACATAAAATTAACCATTTTAAAGTGAATGATTCAACGGCATTTAGTATATTTACAATGCTGTGAAATCTAGCTAGTTATAAAACATTTCCATCACTCTAAAATAAAACTCCTTACCCATCAAGTAATTTCTCCTCATTCATACCTCCCCCTCCTGACAACCATCCCACCCCTTTGACAACCACCAATCTGCATTCTCTCTCTATGGAGATACTTGGATATTTTATATAAATGAAATAATATAATATGTCATATATTGTATCTGGCTTCTTATACTTAGCATCATGGTTTGGAGGTTCATTCATTTTGTCACAAATATTAGTATTTTATTTATATAATTATTATTTAATATTCCATTCTATGTATATATCACAATTTATTTAATCATTCCTTCATTGATGGATATTTGGATTGTTCCTATCTTTTAGCTATTGTGAATACTGCTACCATGAACCTATGTATACATATTCTTGTTTGGGTACTTGATTTTCATTCTTTTTGGTATATAATTAAAGTAGAATTGTGGTGGCTTATGGTAATTCTATGTTTAAATCTTTGGGGAACTGCCAAATTGTTTCCCACAGTGGCTCTGTAAGTTTGCATTCCCATGGTAATATATAAAGACTTCAATTTTTCCACACCCTCAACAGCTGTCATCATTTTCCTTTTTTTAAAAAAAAATTATTATACCTATCCTACTGAGCATGAAGTGGTATTTCACTGTGGTTTGGATTTGCATTTTCATAATACCTAATAAGGTTGAGCATCTTTCATGAGTTTCTTGGTCGTTTGTCCATTTTTTCTAGAGAAATGGCTATTCAAGGTTTTCTTCTTTTTAAAATGGGGTGGTTGGTCCTTTTGACTCAGAGTTGTAAGAATTTTAAAAATATATTCTGGATAATAGGCGCTTATCATATACATGATTTAAAACATTGTCTTTCATTCTCTAGGTTTTCTTTTCATGTTCCTGATAACATCATTTGATGCATAAGAGTTTTTAATTTTGATGAAGCCCTATCTAACAATTTTTTTCTTTTGTTGTTCATATTTTTCATGGCATATCTAAGCATCCATCACCAGATTGAAGATCATGAAAAATAATATTTGTTTTTCTAATAGTTTTACAATTTTAACACTTATATTTAGGTCATTAATCCATTTTGAGTTAATTTTTGTATATGGTGTGAGGTAGGGGTTTTATTTCATTCCTTTGCATGTTAATATCCAGTTGTTTTTGTACCATTTGTTGAAGGCACTGTTCTGTCCTTCATTGCATGGTGTTAACACTCTTACAAAAAATTAATTAGGCATAAATACATGGATTTCTAGACTTTCAATTCTAATCCATTGGTCTATATGTCTGTCTTTATGCTAGTATCACAATATTTTGATTACAGTAGGTTTTTAGTAAGTTTTGAAATCAGGAAGTGTAATTCTTTTAATCTTTTTATTTTCAAGATTGTTTTCACTATTCAGGGTCTCTTGCAACTCCAGATGAATTTAAGAATTGTCTTTTCCATCTGTGCAAAACACAGCCTTGGAATTTTGGTAGGTTTGCATTAAATTTATAGATTGGTTTGGGTAATATTGACATTTTAGAAATACTAAGTCTTCTAATCCATGGATATGGGATGCCTTCTTATTTATTTATTTATTCATTTTGAGACAGGGTCTCACTCTGTTGTCCAGACTGGAGAACAGCAGCATAATCTCAGCTCACTGCAGTCTCTGCCTCTCCAGCTCAACGGATCCTCTCATCTCAGTCCTTGCATGTAGCTGGAACCACAGGCTCATGCTACCACACCTGGATAATTTTTTGTATGTTTTTGTAGAGATGGGGTTTTGCCATGTTGCTCAGGCTGGTCTTGAACTCCTGAGCTCAAGTGATGGACCTGCCTCCACCTCTCAAACTGCTAGAATTACAGGTATGAGCCACCGTATCCAGCCACTTATTTAGATCTTTAATTTCTTTCAGCAATGTTTTATAGTTTTCAGTGTACAAGTCTTTCATCTCCTTGGTTAAATATTTTGCCAGGTGTTTTGTTCTTTTGGATCCTAGTATTTTTTTAAAAACTGGATGTTATTATAGGTAGAATTGTTTATTAATTTCTTTTTAAAATTGTTCACTGCTGGTGTATAGAAAAACAACTGATTTTTGAGTATCAATCTTGTACCCCGCAACTTTGCTGAATTCATTTTTTAGCCTTAGGAGCTCTTTTGAATTGGAGGGGACTTTCCACCTATGGGACTGTGTCATCTACAATAGGGATAGTTTTACTTCTCCCTTTCTGACTTGGATACCATCTATCTATCTATAAAATATGTGTGTGTGTGTGTGTGTGTGTGTGTGTGTGTGTGTGTGTGTATCACTGTGTCTAATTTCTCTGGCCAGAACTTCCAGCAATGTTGAATAGCAGTGTTAAAGGCAGGCATCCTGTTTTTGTCCATTATCATAAGAGAAATGCTTTTGGTCATTCATTATTGAGTATGATGTTAGCTGTGGATTATTCCTAAATGTCCTTTTTTTTGTTGAGAAAGTTGTCTTTAATTCCTACTTTTTCTGGTACTTTTATTTAAAAAGTTGTTGATTTAATCAAATGCTTTTTTTATGCTCACTTAGGATGATCATGGGTTTTTCTTTTTTTGTCCTATTAATGTGGCATATAACATTGATTCTCTTATGCTGAGCTACTCTCGTATTCCTTGGATAAATCTCACTTGGTCATGGTGTTTAATCTTTTTATTGTGCTGATGTATTCAGTTTTCTAGTATTTTATTGAATACTTTTGTGTCTGTATTTATAAGAGATATTGGTCTGTAATAATCTTTTCTTATGATGTTTTTATCTGGCTTGATAACAGGATACTACTGATCTCATTAAGTGAGTTAGCAAGTAATCTCTTTTATGTTTGTTATTGTTATTTATTATTTGTTTTGTTTTGTTTTAAAGAACTAAGAAGGATTGGTGTTAATTCTTCTTTAAATGTTTGGAAAAATTCACCATTGAAGCCATCTTGTCCTGGCCTTGTTTTTGGTTGGGTTTTTTTTTTTTTTTTTTTTTAATTACTGATTTAGTTTCTACTCAGCATAGGTTTGTTCAGATTTTCTATTTCTTCTTGAGTCAATTTTTGTAATTTGTGTGTTTCGGGGAATTGGTCTGTTTCACTGAAATAATTGTTCATAACATTTCTAATAATCCTTCTTACTTCTGTAAGGTCAATAGCAATGTCTCACTTTAATTTCTGATTTTAGTTATTTGCATCTTCTGTCTTTGTTCTTTGTAGTCTAGCTAAAGATTTGTCAATTTTGTTGATTTTTCTTCAAAGAAACAACTTTTAGTTTCATTCAATTATTTTTTACTACTCTATTTTATTTACCTCTATTTGAATCTTTATTTCATTTCTTCTGCTTCGAGCCTAGTTTGCTTTTCTTTTTCTAGGTCTTTAAAGTGTAACGTTATAGATTTAAGAGTTATCTTCTTTTTTAACATAAAGTTTTACTGCTATAAATTTTCCTCTGAGCACTGACTTTGCTGCATCCTATGTGTTTTGTTATGCTGTACTCTTATTTTCATTCCTAAGTATTTTCCAGTTTTTCATGTGATTTATTCTGACTCATTGACCATTTAAAAGTGTGTTTAATTTTCACATATTCATGTATTTTAAAATTTTTCTTGTTACTGATTTTTAGCTCTGTTCTATTGTTGTTTGAGAAAAAACTTTGTATAATTACAACCTTTTAAAATTTATTCAGATTTATTTTGTGGCTTAACATACAGTTTATTATGCAGACTATTTCATATACACTTGAAAAAACTGTGTATTCTGTGGTTTTGGGTGAAGTAGTCTACATGCGTCTGTTTAGGCATAGTTGGATTAAGGTGTTGTTCAAATCCTCTATTTCCTTAGTTATCTTTTACCTAGATCTTCTATCCATTATTGAAAGTGAGCAACTGAAGTCTCCAACCATTATTGTTGAATTATATCTTCCTTCAAATATGTCAATATTTACTTCATATGTTATGGGAGCTCTGTTGCCGAATGTGTGTGCTTATTATTGTTATATCTTCCTGATAAATTTATTATTTTATCAATATTTACTGTCTTTCTCTGTAAGAGTTTTTCACTTCAAGTCTATTTATCTGATGTTAGTTTAAGTAACCCAGTTTTTATTTTGTACACTGTTTGCATAGAATATATTTTCCAGTATCTCCTTTTAAAATTCCAACTACATAGTGTTAAATGTAATCAAACCATTTATTTACGCATTCATTGATTTTTTCATTCAACACTAGTTGATTATCTACTATCAATAAATTGTAGATACTGCCCTCAAGTAACCTTTATTTTATTCTGATCTTTCAATGACACAAAAATTATGTTTTCAGTGTGGACTCCAAAATTAAAAAAGAACATTTTCATTAAAACGTTTTAATCAACTTTATCAAAATACAACATATACAACATACTGCATTCATCTTAAGTGCAATGTTTGAAAATACTTAAAATGTCTACATTCATGCAAACTTACTACAATCAAGATACAGAGAAACTTCTATGCTTTTAAAATGTCCTCACAATCCCCTCAACCCTAGCCCCAAACAATTTCTCTGCTTTCTCTCACTAGACATTACATTATCTTTCTACAATTTCATAAAATGCAGTACCTATTCTTTTATATCTATGTTCTTTTGTTTATCAACATGTATTTGGAATTCAAACATACTGTGTGTGTGTTAGTTCATGCCTTTAAATTACTACGTAGTTTTCCATTGTGTGAATATATAATTTATTTATCCATTCATCTTCTTATTCTTAGGTTTTCTCCAGTTTAGAATTGTTATGAATAAAGCTACAATATATATTTGCATATATTAATTTTGTGAATAAATATTTTTATTTATTTTTTCTTTTTTTTATTTTTTGAGATGGAGTCTAGCTCTGTCACCCAGGCTGGAGTGCAGTGGCGCGATCTCGGCTCACTGTAAGCTCTGCCTTCCAGGTTCACGCCATTCTCCTGCCTCAGCCTCCTGAGTAGCTGGGACTACAGGCACCTGCCACCACGCCTGGCTAATTTTTTGTATTTTTAGTAGAGACGGGGGTTTCACCGTGTTAGCCAGGATGGTCTCGATCTCCTGACGTCGTGATCCACCCACCTCGGCCTCCCAAAATGCTGGGATTATAGGTGTGAGCCACCGTGTCTGGCCGTGAATAAATATTTTTATTTCTCTTGGGTAAATGCCTAGAAATGCAATTATGAATCATATGCTAAGTGTATGTTTAACCATTTAAGAAGCTCCAACAGTTTTCTGAAGGGATTGTACCAACTGTCACTTCCATCAGCAGTGTATGAACATTCCAATTGCACCACATCGTCTTCAACACTTGGTATTGTAGCCATTATAATGAAAATATTCTGGTATCTCATTTTGTTTAAATTGTCATTTCCTTGATGATTAATGATATTAATCATATCTCCCTTTGCTTACTGGTCATACATGTTTCTTCTTTTGGGAACGATCTATTCAAGCCTTTTTGCTCATGTTTTAATTGGGTTATTTGTCTTCTTCTTATCAAGTTGTAAACATGTTCAATATACTCTAAGTAGAAGTATTTATCCTTTTCGGATAAATATATTATGAATAGATTCTCCCTATGGCTAATAGTTTTGTTTTCTTGATGTTGTCTTCCAAAGAGCAGAATATGTTTATTTTAAAAAAGGTCAATTTATCAATTTTCTTATATGCTTAGTGTGTCATTTCCTGAAAAATATGTGTTAGACAAAGGTTGGATAGATTTTTCTCCTTTGTTTTCTTCTAGAAGGTTTATATTTTAGCTTTTCAATTTAAGTATATGATACTTGTCAAGTAACATTAACTTATTTTGAGAACAGAAGCTTTTTTGTAACTCAAGAAGCTTGAGAATGTCACTGACTCTTTGCTAGAGAATATAGCAATGCCACTGGAAAAAACATAACACATTTTTTAGACAAGTCCATTGAAAGGAATGTGTCATGGCTTTGTGAATTTAAATCAGATACTATGTTTACTATAAAATGTATAACAGCCTCAGTTTTCAAAATTTAAATCTTGATAATGTTAAACAGATGCCACATAAGCATTACTACATTTATTTTCACGAACTTTTCTCTTATTCAAATGTGTCATTCTCAGCTCCCGACTCTACTACTGTGATTCAACAGTGAGTATATCAGGTAGCGATGTAAAACCAGTACAATCTTAACACAAGGAATAAAGCAATATTTAGCAAAATTATCCATGCATTTGCCTTGGACCTGCAAAACAACTTCTATGATTACATCCTAAAGATGAATTGGCAAAAGTACAAAAAAATCTCTGCAGAGGACCATTTATTCCAGCACTATTGTAACAGTAAGACTGGAAGTAACCCAAATATCATCAATTAAAGGCTTGTTGAATAAACTATGGTTTATCTGCATATAGAATACTATGCAGCTGTTAAAGAAATGGGAAATACATTTACATATCATTAATGGTCTCCAAAACGTATTGTTAAGTGAAAAACAAAACTATCATGGAGAAAAGGGTGTATGTGTCTTTATTTAAAAAAAGTGAACATATCAATAAAAATTATATTTCATGAAGATATGCAGGGATATACTTTTGGAAATGAAGAATAATCCAAAATATAAAAAATAAAATAATAAAAATTACATTAGCTGGAGGAAGAGGTTGGAGGAATCAGGGATAGAAACCAGACTTTACAGAAAATACCTTCTTGTATGCATTTTATTTAGAACTGTATAAATATTTCACATAATTATAAGAAGAAACAAAATGTAAAAGCAGCTTCTAAGAAACAATGGCAAAATGAGAAAATAATGAATCTAGCAATGTAACATGATAATGAAAAATTATTATAAATGACCACTAAAGGTAGTCATATAACTTTATATTCTCAGTGTTTTGCATAAAACAATAAACTCTAAAAAATAAATCTCAAAGTATTTTTAGCAACCATATGTTAGTAGTAATAGAAGTATTGTTCTAAAGCCATAATATATAAGGTATAATTAAAAACTTCTAATAATAATTTTTAATATTTTAATTAGAAATATCAGTGTAAACTCAAGGTGGCATATTTTCTGTTTAAAAAAATGCCAGTCTGTTCAATAAATCCACATAGATTCTGATCAACATAGTGTCATTAGCCCCGTCCCTAGTCCCTAGAACTAGATTGTAAGCTTTTAGTAACACTTCCAACTAAAAGGAAACAGGGCTTCTGTGAGAAATAGCTGACTCCAGGCCTGGGACAAGGAACGTACAAATGAGCCTGGAAGATCTGGTTACACCAGAAAGCAATAAAATTATCAAAGACTTTTACAGTTAGAACAAAAGAACTTAGGAGGCCATTTGAAGAGATTCCTACTGCATGAAAGCAAGACACTGAATAATATTTTAATAATGAAACAAATGGATTCAAATATAGCAAACCTCTTAAGATCCATCAGTTCATAATAATACAAAACCCCCAGTGATCACTGTATCCATCACCCATCACAAATAATCCATTAAAATGAACCACTTCAAAACACACTGGCTTAAGCAAAAATCATTAATTTTTGCTCAAGTGTCTGTGGGTTTTCTAGAGGTAAGGAAACTCTAGCTTGGGCTTCCCTGTGCTTAACTCTAGTCAGCAAATGATATCCAGACCACATTTTTGTTATCCTCCTTTGTCAAGCAGCATAATGATGAGACATGCTCCTCTTCATGATAAAGACAGAAGTACAGGAGTGCATGTACAAGTACAAAGCTCAACCACACAAGCAAATTTCAAGCCCCTTATTATTCCATGGCCTCTAACATCCTGTTAGCCAAAGTAAGTCTCAAGACTGAGCCCAAAGTCAAGAAAGGGAAGAACGCTTTCCTTCTACTAAAATGAACTAAAAATTAACATTGCAAAGGGTAGAGACACAGGTAGGATGAAGAATTACAGGCAATGATGCAATCTCGCATAGTCATCTATGGAACTTTTTCCAGAAAACCAGTTAATATTCTGAAAAATCAACAAATAACAAGATATAAAAAATATTTATCTTGTCTCTCCAATAAAAAACTATATATCAAGATATCCAAGGAGTTGATGGGGAATGTATTTAATAAATGAAGAAAGAAGGATAGAATTAAAAAGTCACCATTCTAGAATGTTCCAGAATTAGAATATCACGATTCACCACCTAGAACGATATATTAGTTCATCATATCACTGTCTAATAAAACATAAGCGCAACAGTGAAAAACTTGTGGAATAAGAACACCAACAAAATAACACCAGAGTGGTTAGGAAACAATTGAGAACCAACCTAAAAATAACCTAAATAACCAAAGATGAGAAAATTTGAGCATCTATAAGCATAACAAAAACAATGAGTCAAAGTCAATTAAAATATTTAAATACATGATTCAGAGAGATATTGAACACAAAATTCAAACGAGAAAAAATAAAACACTGATGATATTTGGATGATGAAAACAAACCAACTCTTTATTTTATTTACCTAAAGGAAAATAAAGAAAAACAGTCAAGGCATTTGCCCAGCCTTCCCTCTATGAGCTGTAACTCAAGGGAAGCAAATACTTGATAAGCAAAACTTTCCCTTTATACAAATATTTCAATTAATACATTAAGAAGAATTAAAAGCATTAGAACATCACTATTTTACAAACTCTAGTCCAGTAATAGGCAATGATCATTAATTGCTAACATTACCAAAAGAAAGATAAGTGGATATTATATGTCTCTGTAGTAAAATGAACAATGCTACCTATAACGTAATATTCTCAAAACCTCCTAAATTCAATCTAATCAAGATCTCATATCCAATTTATATGAGATGGAGGGAAGAGAGAAACATGTTATATTCCCCCTTGGGATGCAATTTGCCAAACCCAGAGTTTGGGAAACTACAAACACAGAAACTGCTCAGAACAAATAAGATACATGGCATATGAATTAGTAATCCTTAAAGTTGGGTGATGGAACATGGAGGTTTTCTATTCTAGTTTTTGTCTTTAAAAGGTAGAAAAGTCAGGTTCAACATATTTTGAAAACATATTTTGAAAGTGCAGTTGAAACACAAATAACAAGTCTTATTTTGGGGGTAGATAGTCCAAGTTATTATTTAAGCTGCCTGGCTAGAATTCAGAGTGACAGTTGCTAGTGTACATTTCTGAGTCACTGAGCTCCCCTCTCACTCCTATTCAGAGTGCCACCAAATATCCATGAAATTCAGAAATTAATGACAAAATAGAATTTGTGCTAGTTCCTAAGATTCAGAAGTTCATGTCTCATGCCTAAGCAGTAACTAAAATTCCTGAAATAGATAGAAGAATGAATAATTGTTTCACAAGATCACCCATGTGGCCATATTCTTAAGTTAGGCTAACTGTATTATCTACATGTTTGATGATCAAATATCTTGTTTATAAATGACTTATGATAGTGTGTCCTCAAGAACAACTATATATTTTTCTTAATAAGAAACTCTTACTGATGTGAGATAGTCAAGGGGTTGCTACCAGTATGTAAATTAAGGACTGAAGTGGGGAAATGGTGACTACTTTTTGCTGTCATTTACATTTCCTCAGTATTCACAAAGGACTGGCATTAATTAACATCATTATTTTGGGCCACAAGGCTCTTGTAGGCCAGAGCTATCCTCTTATTGCTTTTATGTTGTTAAGCCTCTTCAAGGGAGTAATCTGATAAGAGTTTTAATAATGCAAAGATAATGTGGCTGCAAATAAAAATGTGCAAAGGTTTCTATTAAAAAGTATTTTATACAATTCAAAAAGTTAAAAGAGAAGATTTTGAACATCTCCAACATTAAAAAATGGTAAATGTTTGAGATAATGGACACCCTAATAACCCTGATTTGATAATTACACATGTGAGGTTTGGGCATTAGCATGTTAAATGTGTTGAATTATATGTGAAGTAGATTAGTAAAACAGAAATCATCCATTTGGAAGAGACAGAGATTGCAAGCATGGTCAAAGTTTAGGAAAATCATTAAGGAGATGGACAGATGAATACATAGAGAGAGAGAGAGATAGGGAGGTAACGAGAGATGACACAGAGCATATAAATAAATACATGATGGATGACAGTGTGCCTATAAAACTTGTATTGGAGAAGACTGGCAAAATTTAAATCCTGTTAGATTTAGGAAGAAAATCTAACAGCAAGTAACTGATGCTAATATTCTAAGAATTAAGAGCATGTCCTTCCTGTATCTTCTGTTAGGTTCGTTCCCAGGAAAAGAGTGCTGTCATACTGAGACAGACAGATTATTGTTCTGGCTCTATGTGACAGCTCTCATGCTGATATGGTGTACTATGGCTGTAAAGTACAATATAAGCCACAAATTCAGAAAAAGCATCAGAGGAAAACTCAAATTACAATTTTTACACAGTAATGACTTGTTATTAATCATGCTTATTCTATTATTTTGCTATTTATGAAATAGAGAAGAGCGGTTATATATTCCTCTGCACTTGGAGGTCAAGTGTGAAATGGACAGAGATCCTTGGGAGACTGAATGGTCCCACCAAATTATTAAACTGAAAACATATGGACTATATATATACACCAAACACAAACAGAAGGATTAACCCCCAACGGTACTCAAGGTTTAGCAGAATTTCATAGGGATACTGGTTAAAACCACAAATTCTTGGGCTCTACCTTTAGAAAATTCCAAACCAATAGGTATTGGAATAGGCTCAGTAATCTGTAGTTCTGTGAACACCCCAGGTGATTTCAATGTATATAGTTCCTGTAGGATGATTATCATAAACACTGAGAAGCTGACACAATATGAAAAGAGGTAGAAATTTAAAAACCTACATTTATCCATTATGAAATTTTAAGAAAATATTAGCACTCTCATTATAATAATTTGTAGCTATATTTAGGAGCATATACACCTACATTATATAATTTCAAGCAATATATTCTTAATTCAAGTAATACTTTTTAAAAATGGCTAAAAAGGTGAAATAGTTAATTTCCCACAAGGTAACTAGAAATAAAATACAGATAAATTAAGTGGAGTATTCACCAATTATTATCATATTCAATTTCCAAACTGCAATTTAAAGCCACATAGCTGTGAAAGTCCCATGAAAAGCTAAAGAGTCATTAAAAATGCCAAAGCTTTTTTATTGTTTACTTTTGGAATAGTTTTGAATGCAAAGATGCACAATCTCTGGCCATTTTATTATATTTTATCAAATAGTTACCTTTAAAAACACTGTCCTCCATCAGGAGAGATACGAGAAATTGTGAACAGCTGTTAGAGTCTAGCCAACTGTTTCTTCAACTATGATTCCAGAACAACCTGCAACAGAACAATTTTGCATTTATTATAAAATACAGACTCTGAGATCCTCTCTTACAGATATTAAATAAGAATGTGGTGGGTGTGGGTGGTCGTGTGGGGGTGGTGGAAAGGATTATGGTTATCCATAAGTAATAATTTCCAGTTTTAGAGTTGATGATCTACTACACATTGTCAAATCCTCTTCTTAACAGAGAGGTGAAAAAAAGAGTATCTGGTTTGAACTTTCACTGTATAACCTGAAATGCTTACTTTTTGCTATAGTGACAAAGAAAGCCTTTAATGCAGGGCCAGGACTAGTGGAAGATGGGTAAGACACTTACCTTGAGTGCAAAAATTAGGAGGCGCCGGCCAGGTACAGTGACTCATAACTGTAATCCTAGCACTTTGGGAGGCCCAGGTGGGAATATCACTTGACCCTGGGCAACACAGTGAGATCCCACTCTCTACAAAAAGTTTTTGAAAAATACAAATTACCTGGACCTAGTGGCATGAATCTGTAGTTCTAGCTACACAAGAGGACAGGGCAAGAGGATTGTTTGAGCCCAGGAAGTTGAAGCTACAGTGAGCCATGATTATGCCATTGTACTCCAGCCTGTGTGATAAAGTGAGAACCTGTCACTAAAATAATAAATAAGTAAATAATAAGAATGAGGATTTAAAAAATGAAATATAAAGTAATGGCAGGATAAAATGCTCTGCCAAGTCATGTTAAAGTCTGAAGTAAATTAACTAATAAGCAACACTGGACTTTAAACAAATTAAATGTTACATTGTTTTTATTGAAAATGTTATCTTTTTTGTTCGTCATGGATATTTTCGCATTTTATTTTTTCCTAGTACATTAAAATATTATCTTAATTCTTGAGTTTTTTAGTAACCCCTTAACTTTTGCACCAAAGGCATATGCCTCCCCAGCCTCACCCTAGTTCTAGCCCTGCACCTATGAACTGTGCAGTATAGAATGGCTACAGTTGTTTAAAATCATGGTTAACATCTAAGCATAATAGGTTGTGGCCCTTCAATAGCATCTCCTGGATAAATATGTTTCTACTTAAACCATGCTCCAAATATTTAATTAAATTTGTTATGTGAAGCAGCCAACTGAACTTATGTTTCCCTAGCCTGAGATTGAAGTGGGAGTGCCCTCAAGTATACTTGATGCTTAGTTTGGTTAATCATTATTTTTTTCAATTTAACTAATGAATGTAACAAGAAATAAAGAAGGTGAGGAAGTGTGTAGAAAGAAAAAAAATCATAATAAACTGTATCCAGGTTTTAATGTTAAGTAAAATATTGACTTCATAAAATAATAGTTCTCATCAACAACTAATAATGTCTTCAAAGATTCTATTTTATTGTTATTTTTATATGTTGAATGGGAGAATTTTTCTAAAGAAAATGCTTTTGAAGTCCTATAACCAAGTATAACCAAGAAGAAACTAAAGCCAAGTACTTGATTGCCTACTAAGTAATTTTTGTGACATATACTCATAGAAGCAGATTTTGTCATACTGTGTATTTCACCTTTTTTTTTTTTTTTTTTTTTTTTTTTTTTAGACAAGATCTCGCTTTGTCACTCAGGCTGGAGTGGAGTGGTATAATCTCAGATCACTGCAACCTTTGCCTTCCAGGCTCAAGCGATCTTCCCCCTCAGCCTCCCAAGTAGGTGGGACTACAAGCTTGTACCACCATAGCCAGCTAATAATTGCATTTTTAGTAGAGACAGGGTTTTACCATGTTGCCTAGGCTGGTCTTGAACTCCTGGGCTCAAGTGATCTGCTTACCTTGGCCTCCCAAACTGCTGGGATTACAGACATGAGCCACCTCAGCCAGCCACAATTGTCTTTATTAGATGAAAACAGCTTGCTTAAAACCTCCCTATGGCAGGGCTCTTTTGAGAATTGTTTAAACATGGCATAGATTTGCAGACTAAAAAACGGTGAGAAAGCTGAAACATACACTCAAAGTTAACCTTTGGACAGAAGTTAAAGGAAAGAGTGTTTGGTTAAAGGGACTTATGACAAAGCAACATGTTGGTGACAATATCTTAAAAACGTACAAAGGAAAAAGAGCAAGAGTAGGTGCATAGACATTGTAGGAGGTCATCATTAACCTGATGACAAAACCGGAGAAAGATAAAACAAAAAAAGAGAACTACATGCCAATATCTCTGATAAACATAGATACAAAAATTCTCAACAACATACTAGCAAACTGAATGCACTAACACATTAAAAAGATCATTCACTATTATCAAGTGAGATCAAGGATGGTTTAACGCATGCAAATCAATAAGTGTAATATACAACATTAACAGAAAGAAAGAAAAACATATGATCCTTTCAATAGATATAGAAAAAGAATGTGGTAAAATTCAACACCTTGTCATAATAAAAATTCTCAATAAATTAGATAGAGAGGATATGTAACTCAGCACAATAAAAGCCATATCTGACAAACACACTGCTAACATCCGACTGAATGGATAAAAGCTGAAAGCTGTTTCTCTAAGATCAAGGAAAAGAAAATGATACTCACTTTAACCACTTATACTTAACATGGAATCGAAGTCCTAGCCACAACAATTAGACTAGAGACAGAAATAAAAGACATCCAAATTGGAAAGGAGGGAGTCAAATTGTCCCTGTTTGCAGATGACATAATCATATATAGAAAATCCTATAGACTCCACCATAAAATTGTTATAACTAATAAACAAATTTATTACACTTGCAGGATACAAAATCAACATCTGAAAATCAGTAGCATTTTTACATGCCAACAGTGAACTACCTGAACAATAAATTAAAAAGCTATAAAAAATAAGATACTTAGGAATAAACTTAATCAAGAAAGTGAAAGATTTACCTCTACACTAAACACTCTAAAACTTTGATGAAAGAAACGGAGGAGATCACAAATAAATGGAAAAATGTCTCATGTTCATGGACTGGAAGAATTAACATTGTTAAAATGGCCATCTTACCCAAAGTGATCTACGGACCTAATGCAATCTCTATCAAAATATCAATGACATTCTTCACAGAAATAGAAAAAACAATTCTAACATTCATATGGAACCACAAAATACTAAGAACAGCCAACTGAATCCTGAGCACAAAGAACAAAGCTAGAGGCATCATATTACCTGACTCAAAAATATGCTACAAAGCTGTAGTAACCAAAACAACATGGTACTGGAACAGAAACACATACATAGACTAATAAAACCGAATAGAGTGTCCAGAAATAAATTCAAACAAGTACAGTCAACTGATTTTCTTCAACAAAGGTGTCAAGAACACATGTTGGGGGAAAGAAAGTCTCTTAAAGGGTGCTGGGAGAACCAGATATCCACATGCAGAAGAATAAAACTAAGCCCATACTTCTCATCATATAGAAAAATTGACTCAAAATGGATTAAAGACAAGACTTAAGTGTAAAACCCATAACTATTAAACTACTAGAAGAAAACATAGGAAAAATTCTTCACATTGGGCTGGGCAAGAATTTTTAAAATAAGACCTCAAAAGCACAGAGAAGAAAGCAAATAAATAAATGAAATTGCATCAAACTAAAAGCTTTTTGCACAGCAAAGGAAACAATTAGATAAGTGAAAAGAAAGTCTACAGCAGAGGTGTCCAATCTTTTGTCTTCCTTGAGCTACCCTGGAAGAAGAATTGTCTTGGGCCACACATAAAATACACTAACACTAATGATAGCTAATGAGCTTAAAAAAAGTCTTTGCATAAATCTTATAAATTTTTTTTTTTTTTTTTTTGAGACGGAGTTTCGCTCTGTCGCCCAGGCTGGAGTGCAGTGGCGCGATCTCGACTCACTGCAAGCTCCACCTCCCGGGTTCACGCCATTCTCCCGCCTCAGCCTCCCGTGTAGCTGGGACTACAGGCGCGCGCCACCATACCCGGCTAATTTTTGTATTTTTAGTAGAGACGGGGTTTCACCGCGTTAGCCAGGATGGTCTCGATCTCCTGACCTCGTGATCCGCCCGTCTCGGCCTCCCAAAGTGCTGGGATTACAGGCGTGAGCCACCACGCCCGGCCATAATGTTTTAAGAAAGTTTACAAATTTGTGTTGGGCTGCATTCAAAGCTGTCCTGGGCCACATGCAGCCTGTGAGCTGTGAGTTGGAAAAGCCTGGTCTACAGAATAGGAGAAAACAGCTGCAAATTATACATCTGCCAAGGGCTTGATATCCACAATATATAAATGAGTTAAACACCTCAACAAAACAAACAAAAAAAAGATATAAACCCAATTTAAAAATGGGCAAAACACCTGAATAGACATTTCTCAAAAGGACATATAGAAATGGCCAATAGGTATATTTTAAAATGCTCAATGTAACTAATCAACAGGGAAGTGCAAACCAAAACCACAATAACACCTGATTCCTGTTAGAATGGTTATTATCAAAAAGACAAAAGAAAAGAAGTGTTGGAACGGATGTAAAGAAAAGGAAACACTTATACATTGTTTTGGGGATTGTAAACTAGTAAAGCAATGGTAGAAAAAAAGTATGGAAATTTCTCAAAAAACTAAAAATGATGCTATTATATAATCCAGCAACCTAACTGTAGGGTATATGTCCAGATGAAATGAAATCAGCACGTCAAAGAAATATATGCACTTTCATGTTTATTACAGCACTATTTACAATAGCCAAAAATGAAATCAACCTAAAAGTGTCCAACAACAAATAAATGGATAAAGAATACATGGTATGTATATACAATGGAATACTATGCAGTTACAAAAAAAGAATGAAATTCTGTCATTTGCAACAACATGGATGAGCCCGGAGGATATCATGTTAAATGAAATAAGCCAGAGCCAGAAAGACAAATATTGCATGATCTCACATATATTTGGAATTTTTTTTACAAAGTTCAGTACTGGCCAGTCATGGTGGCTCACACCTATAATCCCGGTATTTTGGGAGGCTGAGGTAGGCAGATCATTTTAGACCAGGAGTTTGAAACCTGCCTGGCCAATATGGCGAAACTCCATCTCTACTAAAAATACAAAAAATTAGCTGGGTGTGGTGTTGCGCACCTGTAATCCCAGCCACTCAGGTGGCTGAGGCATGAGAATCACTTGAACCCATGAGGCTGAGGTTGCAGTGAGATGGTGCCACTGCACTCTAGCCTGAGCAACAGAGCAAAACTGTGTCAATTTTTAAAAAAGTCAATATTATAGAAGCACAGAGTAGAATAACACTTATTAAAGACTGGGAAGGGGAAGGGGGAGAAGAGAATGGGGAGAGGTTGGTCAATGGGCACCAAGTGACGATTAAATAGGATGAATAAATTCTGGTATTCTATTATACAGCAAGGTGACATTGGTTAAGGGTAAAATATTTTATATTACAAAGTGGCTAGAAGAGAAGTTTTCGAAGGTTCTCACCATGAAGCGATGATAAATTCATGAGGTGATAGATATATTCACTCCACTGATTGGATCATTATACAACATAGATATGTATCCAAATATTAAATTATACCCCATAAATATGTACAATGTGTCAATTTAAATAAATACTTCAAAAAATTAATCACAGTATCAGGAGAGAAAGATAGGTATTTTAAATGTCCCCATGTGATAAAAGTATGCAATCAAAGTTGAGATGCCATGATGAGTGTCATATTGACTAACTCATCTTTATTTCTGGGTATACTTGTGAATGGTCTTGTTGCTTATGCGGCCTAGGTTAATAAACTGATAATTTGGGTAGGTGAGAGAATAGCCTTTACACATACATAATAATATAATATTCACAAAGATACTTTTGATTATTTTAAGGAATAACACCTCATCAGCTTTTTACTTGAAGGCTCAATCAATATTAATTCACATCCCCAATTAAGTGCAGCTTACATATATTCTTATAAAATGGCTAGTGACAAAAATAAATCATAATAGATATTTTTCTAGAGATTTACACTTACTTACAAACACATCTGAAATGCTTGTTGACAAATAAAAATGGCTATAATCACTTTGAAACTATCTGAATGCCAGAACCATGTTTTACAATGACTGACAATTGAGTAAAATTAACCATGTTGCTAAGGAAAAGGCTCCTCATAGTTTAGCTTAATAATTTAAATAACAAAAAATGAGTGGGTGAGTATAATTAGCAATGAAGATGCTCATCATCACATTGATAGCGATTACGTCTAGAAATCTGATCTGGGTGCTTTTAATATCCTGTAAAATATGTGTTGTTTGATTTTTCTATTATCAGATTGTTTTGACTTTCAAAACATATAAAATACTATAATAGTTCTTACTATCAAAAATATTAATATCTTAATGCCAGCAGAAAGATTTTTGGGTTGAAACCTAAGCAAAAATTTTTTGCTTTATAAGGATTATAATGCCCTGGATTGCATTAATTTTATATAATAATGGATCTCCCCTTTTCAGAAACATTAAAAATTAAAATTGATACTTCTATATTAAGTATTTATGGTATTGTCCTACGCAGTGCAGGAAAAATGCACAGAATGTCTACTTTAGGTAATTTCAAGCTTCATAATTCTATTATTTCAAATGCTTTCTCAAAAAGTAAAAGTATTACAGAAAGTTCTCAATAGTTTTACTGGTTCCATCATGAATTTCTATGAAATATAAAACATTAGAAATACTAAACAAACTCATCCTAATTTCTAAAAGTAGACATCTTATATCAACAAATACAGCTCATTTCAGCAAAAGAAATAACAAAGTTCTAGAAATCCTGTATTATTTGAGGATATGAGATTCTTACTTTTGCCTCATGTCTTTTTGGTAATTTAATAAGAAACAATGGACTCTGATTTACATATTATTTTTACTCACATTTGGCCAAAACTTTAATAACTATTAGTCTACATTTTAAGCATTATCTAGAAATTCTGCTTTTTGTACATTCGTTAAACAACTATTGAGTGCATACTTACCACATGGTAGGCACAGTGTGAGATTCTGAGGAAACAAGCAAACAAGCTACACATAGTGACTTTCCTCAAGAAGCAAACAGTTTTTCCCCAGTTGCCTTAAAAGAAATCACCAGCAACTAGAACATTTCACAATATCGTGTCCACAACTCGGGACATGATTATTCTAGAATCCATCTATCCTGCAGATAGTATTTACAGAATAATTTCAGTTTTTATGGTGAGAATCCCCTGGATTACTCTGGGGAGCACAGCAATGGAAAGCAGGAAAAGGCATGCTCACTCTTACTCAATTGATGATGGATGGTTTTAAAACAAAAGTCAGTGCTTATAAACATGATAGTGTCATAACTGAACTGTTTTTATATTGAAGTCAAATGTATTCACAGTTTATAGTTTAGAGGAAATAGTTCTATGTACCTTAACCTAG
This sequence comes from Homo sapiens, assembly GCF_000001405.40. Taxonomy (NCBI): domain Eukaryota; kingdom Metazoa; phylum Chordata; class Mammalia; order Primates; family Hominidae; genus Homo; species Homo sapiens. The sequence continues at coordinate 51,044,965 of NC_000002.12, read as the reverse complement.
GTACACATTAATAATTTACACATTGGGCAGCAATGCCTGATTTGCACATTTTAAAAATGATTGAAAATTTACAAAAGAAATAAAAAGCACAACTGTTTGCACATAGATTAATTTGCTATTGGAAGAAAATCTGCACAAAGCTACCTATGCCATGAGGAAAACATTCTAACTTCTGTCAGAATGAAAGGACTTTATAGGTTGTGCTCTTTATTTAGTAGTTACAGAAGGTAGAATATAGAGCAAGGCCTTCACAGGCCTTAATGTCTTCCAAAAGTCATTTCCAAATCCATCCCCTGACATGCCACGAACTTTCTTTAATAACACAGATAATAGATAGTATTTGAATCTCTATTTCTAGTGAAGATAGAATGGCTTATGTAGACCAATTCTCTGATCAAGAACTAGATTAATCTTGAAAAAAAAAAACTGTGCCAGCCTCTAATCTTAAATAATCTTAAAGTCTTAGAAAAATCTTAAAATATTTTAGTTTGGTTGCTCCGAGAGCAACTCAGACAACCAAGAGTTGCTAGGCAAAGATATCTACAGTATATTGTGATTAGCCTGACAGTCTGCAATGCTGTTATGCTCATGACATTTAAGTTAGGTTAAAGGTCGAGAACTCAAAACAAAATGAAGGTGGCATTCAATCAAAGATTACCAGGTATTTGACACATGAAACCAAATGATTGAGAAAAGGAAAGTTTTAAAAAAGGAGGCAAAAATAAAATAAGTCATTCAGACATTGCAGTTATCAGATATAAAATACCAAATAATTATAATTAACATGTTTAAAAAATAGATAATATGAGGAAAAATATTATCAAATAATGGGACCGGAATCATTAAAAGTAATCAAATAGAAATCCTATAACTGGAAAAAATACAACCACTGGTTTAAATAACTGAATAAATTGACTAGGTTAGAATCAATAGAACAGAAAATTAGTAAGTTAGATAAATGGTTAATAGAAAATATCAAGACTGAAGCAAAAAAAGAAAAAAAAAATATAGAAAAGAAGAAGAAAAAGCATGTGTACTTGAGACATATAGAACGTGGTGAAGTTATCCAGCGTACATGCAATTGTAGTCCAAACAAAAAGAGGAGATAATTAGTTGGGATCAAGCAATATAAAACTAGATACTGGCTATGAATTTTCCAAAACCAAAGAAAAATATAAGCTTAAATATTTAGAAAGACCATAAGCAGGAAAAACACAAAGAAAACCATCACTTAAATGCTCACAGTAAAAACGCCTAAAATTATGGTCTTAAAAACCACCATGGGGCTGGGAGAGGAGGACCTGGGAAAAGGCCTTGGAAAGACACATTAGCTTAAAGGAGCAATGATAAAACTGCAGAGCTGACATTTCAACATACTAAGTGGAAGCCAGAAAATATTGGGATATTTTTTAAATGCTTAAAGAAATAATGTCCAAACTAGAATATTCTATCCAGTATAGTTTTCTTTTCAAAATGAATGCCAAAATGAGTGTTTTGTAAAATACACTCCACAGGTACACAAACTAAATGAAATAACAAAGGGAATTTTTCATACAAAAAAAAAATAAGTTCAATGAAAGCAAGTAAGTAAAAGAAGGAATGAAGAGCAAAGGAAAAGATATATATATGAATAACTATAAATAAATATTGACCTATGAAGTAATCATTGTAGTGAGCTATGGATTATAATGTAGAAATATAATAAAAACAACAATAGCACAAAAATCAGAAAAGGGCAAAAGAATTTTAAAAATTTAAAAGTTCTTGCATTGTCCTGGAAGTATTAATTTATGTTTGACTCTGATAAATTGATCACTCATCCTATACTCCTAGGAAACCACTAAATGCTCCTACAGGAGAAAATATTAAGTAACAAATGTAATAAAAGAAAGGAGATGATAAGAACATAAATAGTAAGATGCTACATACATACTCAAATGTATCAGTAATGACTTTAAATGTAAATAGACAAAGAACTCCAAGTAAAAGACAAAGACTTTCATATGGAATTTAAAAAGTCAACCAAATGCAATTTATAAAAGAAGTATAATAAATTAAAACATACAGAAAGATTAAGGCAAAACATAAAAAAGATATACCTTATGGAAACTGACCAAAATATATCTGGGTTAGCAATATTAATATCTGATAAAATTAACTTTAAGGCAAGCTGTATCACTACAGATGAAAAGGAATACAACAGAATGTTTAAAACATTCATCTACCAGGAATATATAACCATCTAATTTTTCATTAAACAAATTAAACAAATATATAAAGAAAAAATACATGAAGGTTATGTATTTATAACAAAATATGTAAAGAAACTTTTACAGAATGTGAAGTATTTAGAATATATAAAGTATATGGTAAATAAACTTGATCTGGCAGACATAAAACATTTGCTCCTTAAAATGTAAAGTGTTGGCCGGGCGCGGTGGCTCACGCCTGTAATCCCAGCACTTTGGGAGGCCGAGGCGGGCGGATCACGAGGTCAGGAGATCGAGACCATCCTGGCTAACACGGTGAAACCCCGTCTCTACTAAAAATACAAAAAATTAGCCGGGCGTGGTAGCGGGCGCCTGTAGTCCCAGCTACTCGGGAGGCTGAGGCAGGAGAATGGCGTGAACCCGGGAGGCGGAGCTTGCAGTGAGCCGAGATCGTGCCACTGCACTCCAGCCTGGGCGACAGAGGGAGACTCCGTCTCAAAAAAAAAAAAAAAAAAAAGAAAGAAAAAAAAGTAAACAATCATTGATTCTTAGGAAACATAATTAAAATTAATAACTCCCTAGTAACATTAATAAAGGTAAAAAGAGAGAATAAAAAAATTACTTAATACCAGAGGAAATGGAGCATCTGTAGAAATCTTCTATGAATAGGAAAAAATAAAATCTTAGCTTATGTGATCTCACTAGTGAATATTCTACTAAGAATGTGATGAGAAAAACAATAACGTTATTACGTAAACTCTTCCACAGAATAGAAAAGAAACCCACAATACTTTCCATCTTGTTTTATAAAGATAGTGTAAACCTGCTCCCAAATTGTAGGCTACTTTCTTTCTGGATTTTGGCAGAAATCCTATATACAATATTACCAAAGAAAATTAATAAAAGAGTAATATATGATGAACAAGAAATGCATATGCCAGGAATTTAAGAATGGTCAAAATTTCAAAAATAACCAGTGTAATTCATCACATTAACCAAAGAAATAAGACAAATTATATGATTATTTCAATAAATGTTGAAACAGTATTTGAAGGATTTCACCAATATTAGCAGATTGGGATTAGAAAGGAATTTACTTAATCTAATAAAGTATATATATATGAAGTATAATAAACGTGCATAATGCTGAATTATTAAAAGCTACAAAATATTATGATTCATTATAAAAGCTCATTGAGACAAAAATATAAATGAATAATGATATAAAATATAAAATCTATCAAATAGATTTTGATAAAGTTGACACTGTAGAATAATGAATACACTATAGCCTTTTCAATATATAATTCTGTATTAATTGGATATTCCTATGGGTAAAAAATACTCCCTGAGGAAATATTAATCTAAGTGAGAAGGATTAAAATTAAAAACTTTTTGCAATGTAACACAGGAGAATATATATCAAGATAGGAAGATTTTCTTAAACAGGACACATGAAACAATAACTACAAAGGAAAATATTAACAAATTGAATTACATTAACATTTAAGTTTTCTGTTTATCAAAAAAATGAAGAAGGAACAAAGGTTAATTACAGATGGGGGAAATATTTTAATACATATAACTGCACAAGCAATCATACCCGGAAAATGTAAAGAGTCCCTACAATTGATTTTAAAAGACAAGTAATCAAATTATTTAAAAATGGGCAAAAGACTTGAATAGACCCTTTTTAAAAGAGGATATCCTAACGGCCTATAAATACATGAATTAGGTACCTAACATAATTGGTCATCTGGAAATTAAAAAATAAAATGTTAATGAGATAGCAGTGAAACCAACTAGAATATCTAAAATTAAAATGATTGATAAATTTTTTTGGCCAGAAAGAGAGAAATTCTCACACACTGTTTTTCAGTGTATAAATAGTGACAACTTTGGAAATCTCTTTGTCAACAACTACTAAAATTAACCCATGACCCAGCAATTCCATTCCTAGGCATGAACCCAGTGGAATTGTGTACATATTTGCAACAAATAACATGTACAATGTTTATAAGACATTATTTGTAAGAGTCCAATACTGAAAACAATACAAATGTTTATCAACAATTGACTAGATAAATATTGGTAAATTTATAAAACTGAATTCAACATTGACAATGAACAAAATCACTGCTGCATGCAACATGGATGGATTTCACAAACATAAAGTTGAACAAAAGAAGGCGGACACAGAGTAGAACATACTGAATTATACCACTTATCTAGATAGCAAAAACAAGCAAAATTAGTTTTGGTAGTTTGAAATCAAGTTATTAATTAAATTTATGGAGGAGAGAATAGAAAATGACTAGAAGGAATAGGAGTTTAATATTCTAATATTTTATCTTGGTGAAAGTCATAAGGGTATGTTCATCTTTTGAAATTCATCAAGATCAAGACTTACGTTTTCTGTCTTGTATTATGTTATTTTATAATAAATACGTTTATTTAAACATACTGCCAGTATTAAATCACTAGAAATCTAGAATATTCCTTTTTTCTTATCCTAACATCCTATTTGGAAAGCAGGTTCACTTTGCACTGGTTACCAACTTGTCTGAGTTTGATGAGACAGAGCACACTCATAAACAACAAGTTACATGATGGAGATTTATTATTTACAAATCGGAAGCAAGGGACAACAGATGCCTGGGATCCATTGTAAACAGGTCCCCCAAGCCCCAAGAAAACTGCCTAGAATGGATGGAGCCTTGGCTGTGAGTGGCCCACTTGCCCCACAGCTGACAGACCTTAAAAGGCAGTCCGCCCTGGGTTATATATCTAAAGGGCCATGGAACTCACTGGGCAACAATTTGAAGGACGTCCTACTTCCTGGAGAGAGAGGAGCAAAGCCTGGGCTGTCCCAGGCAGTTAATTCATAACTGAAGATGTTATATTTCCTAGGGGGAACAGGAGCCAAGGCCTGGGCTATTTCACGCATTCCTCTCTATTTCAAGATATTGCATTCTCAGCAAATTCTGTCATTATTCTTGAGAACTAGAAGAAAAAGGCAGGGGGAACTCAGTGCATTAAAAGCTTCCTGGAGAATTGTCCCGCACTATCCAAGATTTATTTCTACCTAAAATGTATCGAGATGTATCTGTTTAGGGTGACGTATTCTTGCTGTCTCTATTGTGATTTCTCTTCTTATATTCAATTTCTCAAAAAGTAGACTCTAGAATAATGTCTGTATCTTATATTTATAGTTTTCTACATTTGAAAAGTACCACAATAGAATGGTACAGTGAACAAGAATATGGACTTTAGTTTCAGAAAGATTTGGTCCTCACTCTATCAGGAGCGGTCTACAAGTTTGAAGGCAAGATGGGTAGCATCTCCAAGCCATAGTTGGTTGAAAGACAAAGAGAATGAAAGTGAGAGCAAGCCTGTGTGTGTGTGTGTGTGTGTGTGTGTGTGTGTGTGTGTGTGTGAGAGAGAGAGAGAGAATGTCTAATTTTCAAGGTTGTAATGGATAAAGAAATATATATGTAAAATCATCTGCCAAATGGTCTCTTATAATAGTATTATGCATAACTATATTTTTCCATCCTCTATCATGCATCCTGTACTAGTTTCCCAGGTTTATCATAAACTATCACAAATTGGGTGGTTTAAAATATAACTGGGTGGTTTTTATAACAATAAAACATTTATTCTCTCGGAATTCTGGAGGCTAGAAGGCTAAAATCAAGGTGTCAGCCAGGTTGGTTCTTTCCCTAGGAAAAATCTGTTCCATGCCTCTCTTTGAGTAGTCTGCTGGTTGCTGGCATTACCTGGCATTTCTTGGCTATATAGTTATATCACTGCAATTTGTCTTTGTCTTCATGATTCTCTTTCTTATATCTCCTCTGTGTTTTCAAATGTGTCTCTCCTTTTAAAGATGCCTGTCACTGGATTTAGGGCACACCCTAATCCAGTATGACCTTATCTTAATTTGATTACACCTGCAAAGACCCTATTTCCAAATAGTCACATTCATAGATAAGGTGAAGACTTCAACATATCTTTTAGGGGGACAATTCAACTCCCAACATATATCATGCAGGTACTACTATAGGAGAAGCTAAGAGATTTGTCTCTGTTGCCATACAAAGCAAGTAATAAGGCTGCAGCTAGAAACACATATAACTCAGAATTCAGTGCTTCTTGTAACATACCAAACTACTCAAAACAATTATCTTCATGTTCTAAAGGTCAACTTTTAATAGCAACTGTACTGTTTTATCTATCCTATGTGCTTGGCTGAATTTAGAACATGTAAATCAATCTTTTGAAATGTTTACTAGAGAGAATAACCACCCATGATTATGAGTTTGCATGTGTACGTGTATACAAAGCTGTGAAGGGAACAAACTGGTAGGCTGTGTGCCATTTCCAACCAGCAGAGAAGTCTATTTTGTCCTGCACAGTATTGTGGTAGTAGTGGTGATTATTTTTTAATAAGCCAAGATTTTAAAATCAGAAGATTTTACATAACATTTCAGATTTCCAGCTGCTCTTGTAAAATCGTAGGATCTGGCAACACCAGACTCACATGGTCACAAGCTGTTGCGGCCGCAGAGTGAACGCCATTTTTAGAGAAGTATGAACATTTTAGGTGTCCACACTGTCTGCCAATCCTCATTGTTTTCCCAGTTTGCCTACCTCACTCATGTATGTCAAACACCAGACACTGTTAAGCATTGCAGTCTGCTCTCCTTGTTCTAGAGAAAATTAAAGTGCCTCTACTGTACTATAACTTCATTCAATGGGATGTGTACATCAAGCATATACTTAAGGATGTAGTTTATTCCTATTTCACTGATCTTCTTTCCTCAGCAAGAGAAAAACTCTTATCAAAATAAAACTCTTCCCTATTCTGCTTCACGAGTCTCTTCAAAAACCTAAGATTTTTTTTTTTTTACATAAAATGCGGGTATTATTGCTCTAATTTGTGAAGTTACAATAAAATATCTACAACTTTCTGTATTCTTAAGATATCTATCTCTGTGGGTGTCTGTAGTATTAAATGAAAAAATGTAAGTAGGACAAATGGATGAGAAAGGCAAACAAAAATGAGAAGAAAACTCTGAAAAAAAAATGAGGTTTAAAGCTATATTAAGTAGGAGGAGGGCAGTAGCTGGAAAACTGGTAAGAATTGAATATTTTTAAAAATCCATAAGCCCAACATAAAATCAAATAGGATGTGTTTTAAAAGCAAACCACAAAATGTTTCGAGATGCCATCACAGAAAATTGATTCCACAGATTTCTAGGGGGCAGAAATAGGCTAAAAAGAAGCAAAGATATTATAATAAGACTCTTGAATTTCACTGACATCCATAACTCATCACAAATCCCTTGCTCTTTTCTTAAAAGTCATAGTAAGGAATATTAAATAGCACTGGCTAAATTAAACAGATTAACTAGTTGCAGGCACCCAATAAAAATAAATTGGAAGCCACATTGTGATGAATGAGATAATTCCTTTTCTGGAGCCTAGCAGTTGAGAATGGCAGGCTTGAGTGTAGAGTTAGGTTGTGGGGAAGAAAGTTCTGTTCACAAGAAGAGAAATAAGTCATTAGAGGGGGTAATAATGACAGGCTGAAGTGTGCAACTAAATCACTGATCGAGGAAACATAAACCCTCTGGCAGGGACTTTTCACAGACTTCATCTAGCGACAGCTATTCTTCCTCAGAAAGATTTTTCCTCATTGTGGGGGAAGGAGGGGTGGAAGTAAACACAGAGGAACACACTCAGGTGTAAGTGCTGCCCTAGATTTAAAAACACTGCCCATCAAACACGCTGCAGGGTTTCCACATTGAAGCCTTTCTAGCAGGTGCATCGTTCAAAACTTAACTACTGTTCTCAAGGACCTATCTACGTGCTTTCTCTACTGCTGCTTGATACCTTAATAATTATCATTACATTAATGATTTGCAGCCATTTTAAATCACATTCTACCTTCTGATTACAGAAAATTTACATACTCAAGGAAAAGTAGCCTAATTTTACTATGTTTAAGATTTTTTCAAGTAGTAAGAAAGTATTTAACATACTGAGTTTGCTTATTTCTCCTGAAAGTTACTTAGTAAGCTTAATAGGAAATTATGTGTCTTTTTGTACATGTAAATCCTAGTCTGTTTATTCCATTTTATAGCTGAGTCTCAAACCCTAGACTTGATTACATTTCCTTGCATTTTTAAATTCATCTAGTTGTAAAATAAATTTTATATGGCAGCATGTTCAATATCTATTCTTAAACTTTTGTAACCAGAAAACTCTAATTGGTTCATATAAAGAAAACTAGAGACATTTAACTGCAAACAAAAAATGGATTATATTATTAAAATAAAGTCATGAGCTAAACAATAGAATTCCAATTGTGCAGCACTGATAATGTAATTGGTTAGAGAAATTTGATAGCAATCTGAAATTTAGTTGAATTAGCACGTAATATTTTCCTGATACTGTGATTATTTTAGTAAAAGTGGCTTCATTTTGATCATCTATAGGACAGTAAATAGAAAATCCCCTCAGCGATAAATCTTACTGTTTTTTTTGAGTTGTTTCTCATCTTAAGTGAAAATGCATTTAATGTATATCAACTGGTATTTTTCCTCATTGTTACCATGTGTTTCTTCTTCTACCCCTTATATCAGTAAAGCACCCTTCATAACTGATATCAATATTGGAATTCATAGGTATCTCAAAGCTTCCACTTTACCTTAATGTTAATTGAGAAAGTAGGTGTTTACATTGATTTCCTAATGTTAAAGCACAGGGTCTGATTGCAGCAATAAACACAGAGCATCTCTGCTGCATTCGTTTCTCAGTCAAAAAAAATCTTACTACTTAGTTTCATTTATTTTTAGTGTAGCATTAGTCTCCATGTTAGAATTCTCATTAATATTAATAACCTATGGAAATATACTTGCTTTAGGTGAGCATGCATTTCCATTTTCATTGATGCAAAATGTTTACCAGTTTATGGCATGAGATATTATTTATGTTTCCATATTTGGGTTGCCACAAATTCTCCCAATCAGACATAATCATAAACAAGCACCTTGATTTCGCAGTTACCTCATTTGTTCTGAGTGGTAGCTAGGGGCAGGAGTTGAAATCCTTAACATATTTCTGTAGCCTAAAATTAGTAGATTCCCTAAGGTGATTCAGGAGGAATTAATCCTACTTCCCACCTTCTAGAAAAATACTAGATTGTTCTTACAAATGTTAGATTGCTTCAAATTCAGATCTACAGGAATCACCTCACATCTTGCCCAGAAACAAACAAAAAAGGTAGTAACATTGAAAACACGTCACCTATAATATGTAACAAAGTACATGAATATCATATATTTCATACAGTATTAGTCATTAAGGAATGTTATGGCAAAATTCTGGAGTTGACTGTTTAGTTTCCTAGACTCCTCTTGATGAAAGTCTTAGAAAGGAAAAGGAATGAACAATTACGGGCATCTGCATTCTGCCAAGCACTTTGCTACGTATATCTGATGATCCGTTCAAAGTCAGTGTAGCAAGGGGGTTAAGATTACAGAATTGAGTTTGGATTTTTCCTCACACTGTTGCTTGCTTACTAGACTTTGACTATCTGGACTAATCTCTCTATGCTTCACTTTTTCTCATTGGTAAAATGAGTGAAATCCTAGAACCTACCTCTTAGAGTTGCTGTGAGGTTAGAATAAGTTAATGTAAGTAAAGCACTTGGAGCACTGTTTGGCGAGGAGTAGGCACAAAATTAACATTCAATGTTGACATTATCTCCACCAAGTCATATAAATGGAGATGCCATTATCTTTATTTTACTGATGACAAAACTGCCACTTAGAGAGTTGAAGTAATTTATGGAGAAACAACAGAAAAACTCATACTTTAAAATAAATTAACAACTTTTATCATTAAATTATGTTGTGATATTTGCATTCTAAGCTACAAACTGATACTTTTCTCTATGCATATTTACTGAAAAAAAAAAGATCCTGGGGCTGTCCACTTCCTTGGACTACATACAGTAAGTACCTTAAACCTGATTGCAAAGGGGATTACTCCAATACATCATCTATTCCTTCAGTTTATATAGTTTGTGTGTGTGTGTCAGGGAGGCAGTGGTGAAGAGATGTGGGAACACTGGTCTTTTTAATCTGAAAATTCACACATGCAGCATAAGAATGTCAACATTTTTTTTAAATCAAAACACCACAGAAGACATCTCAAGGAAAACCTTGATTCAGTGGAAACACTGTGTAGCCCAATTAAAGATAAAATAAAAATTCACAAAGACGAAATGAAATAAAGTAGGAAATTGTTCAGATCACATGCACTGGTGGTAAATAATGAGTTTTTATGAATCCAGGTAAAAGGCAGTGCTTTGACTCTTAAGAGTGCCTCTAGCACTACCATAATGTTCACTGATGCATGTTCACACCAGATCTTAAGAGCATCATGGAACCAAGTTAGACTTGATTTTTGAAAGTGGGCTGTCCATTCCACTTACTTTTGCAATAAGCTTTAGCTCTATACTAAACACATCGCGGTGTACCTTCTGTACTATTTGTCCTATAACCTAATGGTAGGAAAAATTGAAAAAGGCCCTGAATTAACTAGACTGTTTTTTTGTTTCAAGTTCACTGAATGAATAATTTAGATAAGTAATTTTCTGAGTCTTAGTTTTACATCATTTAAAATTAAATTTTTGTTTTAAGAATCATGTTAACAGCTATTATTTCATTACATTCCCAAAGCAATCTTATGGAATAAGCTGACAATGACTAATACCTCTATTTTATAGTCAAAGAATTCGAGTTTCAGAGAAATTCCTTCCATTGAGTCAAACAGAACACAGAGTGGGTTGTAGTTGATAAATATAGCCAAAATTCCACAATTTGGAATCCACAATTCCAAATATGTTATGTTTATTTATTCATTTCATCTTCACAACATCAAACACATGAAGAGGGAGCTATTATTATATCCATTTTACAGATGAGGTGACTGAGGCAGCATAAGATTAAGTATCTTGCTGAGGTTACAACTAATAAATGGCAGAGATTGAATTGAAGCTCAGACAATCTATTTCCCAAACATGTAACCACTTGACAAAACTGCCTCTCTAAGGGCGATAAACATATTAAAACCTGTGATACCCGCCTTCAGGTTATTTAGACCCTTTTACAAAAGTAGTGAAAGTATAAATCGGCTTATCATAGGAATGAGTTCTAGTTTTTTGGAAGAATATACATATTGTAATTGTAATATATATTATTTTGATGTTCCCAAATTTATCTAGTTCTTAAATTCTTGCTCTATAGGGCCTGGAGGCCAAAAATAGTCTTGCCTTACAGTATTTGAGGTTCAGACTATTAGGTCTGTGGCGTTGCAATAAAAATGTCTGTATCTGCTCCAAAACTAACCCAGGCTAGGAATATACAGGAATAGGAATTTAAATGTCCATAGGGTGCAAACCATAATTTAAAGCCACAGACCCCGAACTCCTCTACCACCTAATCTGTAAGCTCCCTTAGATTTAACCCCTTTCTCACCAAACCCAGCAATGCCTATTGGGCATGCCCAGTTGCATGGTTAGAGCCTCACACCCAGTTTTACTTTCACCAGGTTTTACCAGCTGCAAAAGGGAGGAGGAGACGGAGGGAAGAGTTAAACAGGTAGAAAACTTGGTTCAAGACAGAGCACAGAAGGCTGGAGAATGACGACAGGCTGCAGTAAAAAGCACCTTGTCAGACACAGTTGATCGTCGTCTGCAAGTTGGCATCTTACCCTGGTGGGTTCCTTTTACATCTTTTTGGCACAGCCTAGGCAAGTCATGAAGATTTGTTGTGATTACCCAAGGCAGAGCCACAGTAAGGGGTGGGGCAAGGGACATCGGATCTAGAAGAATGCCAGTGCCTGTGTGAGTCTTGCTTGCCCCTGCATTCCTCGAAAAGCTGCAGCTTCTTTTCAAGGGTTCCGAGCAGGAGACCAAGGTGCACAAGTAAAGCCAGAGCTCATCATAATTATCGACTCCTTGGCCCCTTCTCTTTGACTGCTGGACCCTTTCCTGGCACCCTCTCAGGTATCCCCGCCCAATCACTACCAAACCCCGGAGAAGTGGAATCTCCATACAGCTTTCCATGGGTCTAGCAGGGGCCTGGGCATGCTCAGTAGGCTACGTGGTTCTCTGGTTCGTGTTCGTTCGTTCTCTCTCTCTCTCTCTCTCTCTCTCTCTCTCTCTCTCTCTCTTTCTTTCTTTCCGATGGGGAAGAGAGGGTGGTGACAAGTTAGAAGCGCTTGCGGAAGGTCCCCGCCCCCAGGATCAGGCTCCCCCTGCAAGGGGACGATGCAAAGGTAAAAGCACCTCGCTCCGCAGCATCCAGACCTGGAGGGGCTGCGACCACGGGCCGAGCCCACCCATTCCCCAGCCAAAGGACGGGCCCGCCGCTCTCCATGGTACTGCGGAGAGCTCAGCTCCGCCCTTCTCTTTCAGAAGGACAGCACCCGGCGTCACGTAACCCAGCCTTCTCAGGCTCCACCACCGCCTTTTCCTTCCCAGCTCTTTCCCTCTCCTCCCCCTCCTCCTCCTTCTCCTCCTCCTCCTCCTCCTGCTCCCCTCCGTTGCCTGTTCTCCCCTCCCGCACTCCTGGAGATAGACGCTCAAGCCTGACGCCTCTGAAAAGGCAGCAGCAGTCGCCTTATCCATAGACCTCAGGAAATTCGCTTTGACCGATGCATGCTTCAGGCTCTGGCTCGAGCTGAGGGGAATAACCGGGCAGGTAAAGAAGCTCAATTTGGGTTGGGGGGAGGGGATGGGGCGAGGCAAGCTGAAGAAGGATATCTTTCCCCATTGTAACTGAGCCAGGATCTGCCACAAATACACAGGGAAAGATGGGTGGTGGGAGGGTGGAGGAGTGTAGATCTTGGTTGTTTTGCATGAAGCCTTTTAAATAGATGGCAAGAAGAGATGGTGGAACTGGGGTAGTAACTTAAAGGCTGAATGCAGTGATGTATTAGCAAAAGAAAGAAAATAAGAGACAGGCTAGATATCAAAGCAATAAAATATCTCTCCATATATTTCCTTCCCTACCTCATCAGCCCCACACTGTGCCCATCGTTAATTTGTGCAGTAGACCCCGAGCTCCAAGAAACTGCACTGGTATTAGAGATGGAGCTTAGAGACTGGGCGGGAAAGCCAGAGAGAATTTTGGCTGTGCATTGGTATTGAGAGACTTTGCAAAAGCCAGGGGTGAAATAATAAGCACTTCTAAAATTTCTCTCAGAGATTTCATGTTCTTTATGAAGATATATATATATATTGAAGGGTGCATGGAAAGGTGTAGGTGTGTATGTGTGTGTGATATCAGAAACATTAAAATATGCAACTGCAGCCGATGAGCGTACTGTATTGATCCTCCTAGTGACTTGGGATGAATTTGATTCTAGAAATGAAAGAAAAGATTAATGATGCTGTTAGTCTGCTTTTGAATTAGAGCGCTTCTTCTTTTGGCTGCAGTAAGGATGTTTTTCAGATCCCTTTATTTCATCCTCTAATTTGTGAACTGGCCAGGTCTTTCTGGCACCTAGAGAGAATCCTCTTTTCTCCATATAAATACAGATACTCGCTCACATACAATGAGCTTCCTCCAAGAACTGGGAAAACCAGTTAACCTCCCTGTGATAAGAATGTATATATATCTATATGTACATATATATTGCTCTACGGTTTTTCTCTCTTCCACCATCCCTTAAAATTGTCAAGGTGTGCATTAGTGGAGGAGGGCAGGAGGGACGGGAGAAAAAAGGTTATGTGATCAATGTAACATTAATTAATACAATAATTGGCTCCAACAGAGTTACACACACAAGAAAAAAAAAAAGGTTTTCTAACACATGAGCTTGAGAAAGGGTTCAAAGCACTACTCTTGATCATGATATTCCAGATTTATTTTGCAAATGACTGAAAATTTAGCAGATTCCTGAGTCCACTTAAAATATGAAAGTATACTGAATAATATGCTATTTCAGATGATTTGACGAGCCTCTTTCCTCGGGTTTGATATAGGAGAAGACAAGATATGACTGGTGATTGCTGATGGTGTGGAATGTATCAGCCATAATAAATAAGCAACTGAGATTTTTATTTCCTTTTGCTAGTGGGCAGTGTGTATGTGCGCACACCCACACTGTGTGTGTGTGTGTGTGTGTGTGTGTGTGTGTGTGTTGAAAGAGAGAGAACCAGTCATCAATTTCATCTGGGAGGAACTTGAAGTGGGATACCCTAGCTTGGTGGCTCTCAGCTGACACCTGTGGGGATTGCTCTGTACTGAAGAGAAATGCTCTCAGCTCCCCCCATGGAGAAGCAGCAGCACAATGCGGTGCCATAAATTACTGCTAGTTTCAGCTTGTAAGGGAAAAAAAGTGTTAATTGGGTAGTGAGCTTCTACATCCAGACAATAAATTTGGGGTGTGTGTGTGCATGTGTGTATGGTGTATATATATTGCAGTGTGTGTGTTTGCAAGAGGTGGGGAATATAAGAAATAGTGAGAAAAATAATGCACTTCCTTGACATGAACAGATTATACATTTGTAATTTTTTTCAAAAGGTAAGAGTAATTTTTTGGTTAAAAAATGACTTAGGAAAAAAATCAGTGATTATGATTTCTGTACCATTTCAAGAACCTGTCAGATTAGAGTTGAATAAAGAGAAGTGATTTAATAGTATAGTGAGTGATTCAAAGGTACGGTTTTAAATTCTAGCATCCTGGAGCCACTGCAGCTGAGATGACATACATGCCAACAGCTCTTCTGACCACACAAATTGTGAGGGCTGACAGCAAGATACAGACTTCAGGAGGAGTTAGATCTACACTTTTAGGCAAAATATTAAATACTTTATGCACCTTTAGAGAAGTTAATATTAGGGCAATTGAGACAATGCCAAAAACATAAATCTGGCTCCAATTAGTGGTTTTCTTTTACAACAGATTATTCATTAATATAAAGGAGAACTATACTTGTGTGAAATTTTGCAAGAGACTATCAAGAAACCATCAATATTCCTTCTAAGAAAAATAAAATGGCAGGAATGCTATACAAGTCTAAGCTGGCAGCTTCCTGCCAACAGTTTAATCTAATTTGCCAATTGTAAAATCTCTTAACTGAGATTTGAATAGGTTGTATTTTTACTGTCCACAGAACAAGCACACAACATAGGTAGAAATCCTTAAAAGCATTTGTTCTCCCCTCACATATTTTAAAAATTAAACTATCTTGCGAAAAGAAAAAGATAACCATAATCAAATTTCTCTTTAAAACTTCGGGTTACCAACTAACAGTTATAATAAACTACAAGGGTGTCATGGCTGACTGTAAAAGTGTCATATTAACTATTAGAAAATGTTAGGACTTACTTGTAGTGAGGATAACAAAAGCTCCATACAAGAAGGTTAACTCTTTGCCTTACTAATAGGACCAGGTCTACACTTGTGTTATGAGCTGAATAATGATTTATATAATACTATATTGACTTTAGACCTTAATTTTGACTTTAATTCTCTGCAGATGTCTGAGTCCTTAAAAAAGACAAGATAAAACCAAAATGCATCACCAACACACAACCAATTGATGTGCTGGCATCTTAGCTTGGCCCTGCAGAGGCAGAGAGAAAAGAAGAGGAGCTGTTGCGATTTCCACATCTAACAGCTTCTGGCTATTTCGCAACTGCTGGGTTTGAGTCCTACTGTTGCCGTGGCTGAAAAGAGAAGTAAAATCCAACTTGTGAGACCACGCACAAGGAATTAGGCTTTGGCTGCAGCGGTGCTGAAGCCCATGCTATGACAGAAGAAGCAGGCCTTTGAAGCTATCCTCGGGTTAAGAAATGGTGCCCTAAAGAGGCAAGCATCCCTTTCTCCGTTCTGCTGTAAGACACCACATCTGAAGGAGACAGACTTGAGGCATTCACAAGCATCCAAGGATACTGGCTCACTGCTGGCTTCCTGTACTTTCTTGAGAAAAGTGTTTTCTTTTTACTGACTCTCACTGCTTCCTTTTGGCCTGGTACCACTGGTGGAACCTGGCAGATAATGGGATTTGAGGAGTTAAGTATCTGTTGACACTGCAGATACTCTTAAATTAGTTAATCAGACTCAAATGGGTCAGTGCTTTCCCTTGATCTTTTGTTGAAGCCTTTTCCAGAACGTTGTCTCCAAAGTGCATCCTCCCTTTGGTCTGGAAGTTCTGTGGCTACCCTGTACCACTGGGGTCAACGTTTTCCAGTTGGAAGAGGACTACAGGGAGAGAGGGCGGGGTTATTGGAAGAAGAAGAAGAAAAAAAGAACTAGATAAAGGAGGGCACATCCCTCTCACTCCCGCCTTTCCCCTTACCTTTCTGTCTCTCGGGACCCTTATTTCTTCGTCACGGTGTCCAGGACCATTTTGACCCTGTCGGCCCCGGCACCCCCCCGCCGCACCCCAGCCCCGAGCATGGGGACGGCGCTGCTCCAGCGCGGGGGCTGTTTTCTTCTGTGCCTCTCGCTGCTGCTCCTGGGCTGCTGGGCGGAGCTGGGCAGCGGGCTGGAGTTTCCGGGCGCCGAGGGCCAATGGACGCGCTTCCCCAAGTGGAACGCCTGCTGCGAGAGCGAGATGAGCTTCCAGCTCAAGACTCGCAGCGCCCGCGGCCTCGTGCTCTACTTCGACGACGAGGGCTTCTGCGACTTCCTGGAGCTGATTCTGACGCGCGGCGGCCGCCTGCAGCTCAGCTTCTCCATCTTCTGCGCTGAGCCTGCGACGCTCCTGGCCGACACGCCGGTTAACGACGGCGCCTGGCACAGCGTGCGCATCCGCCGCCAGTTCCGCAACACCACGCTCTTCATCGACCAGGTGGAGGCCAAGTGGGTGGAGGTCAAGTCCAAGCGCAGGGACATGACGGTGTTCAGCGGCCTTTTCGTCGGGGGGCTGCCCCCGGAACTGCGCGCCGCGGCGCTCAAGCTCACCCTGGCCTCGGTGAGGGAGCGGGAGCCCTTCAAGGGGTGGATTCGTGACGTGAGGGTCAACTCCTCGCAGGTCCTGCCCGTGGACAGCGGCGAGGTGAAGCTGGACGATGAGCCGCCCAACAGCGGCGGGGGAAGCCCGTGCGAGGCGGGCGAGGAGGGCGAGGGCGGGGTGTGCCTCAACGGAGGTGTGTGCTCCGTGGTGGACGACCAGGCCGTGTGCGACTGCTCGCGAACCGGCTTCCGCGGCAAGGACTGCAGCCAAGGTAAGGCCCGACGCCCGACCCACGGGGGCCGGGGCCTGGGCGGGGCTCGGGGAGGAGGGGACCGGGCTGGTGCATGGGGTCTTCCTAATCTTGGCAAACGTGTGGCAGTTCGCTTCGAGGGAAGGACCTTGTTTCTGGGGGACTCTCTACCTTACCACCTCCACAGCTTCTCCCTTGACATCCTCCTAAGGATTGGCAGCCCCCATATCCAAGTTTGAGTTCCTTCTGGAGACCTTTCTACCAACACTACTCCCTTCCAAGTGGCAAATACAATGGCCTCTTCTTATTCCTCGGGTTCTTTGGCAGGTTGGGCCCTATATTGGGCCGCGGCCCACCTATATGACCACTGTACTTGTCTCTACCACTTCTAAATCTGTAACACACAGACTTTGCCCTTAAGATGCAAACAAGCATCTAGAAGATTGGGCATGTGTTTGATGAGAAATGAAGCACAGGAGAGGTATACCACGGCCGTGGTTGAGAATCCCCACGTGGTTCTGGTCACTCGTGGTAAAGGACGAGAAAGACAGGGTTCACGGGCAGTGCTCTGCCTTTTGCAGATAGAGCGGTAAAAACCTGCTTTTCGTTGTGGAAAAAGGGAAAGAGAGGATGTGAAGCGTTTCTTCATTAGCAGGAGGCTTTTTGGAATAATGTTGGTTTCCACTGTTATATCCAAGTCCAACATTTGTGAAATTTAAGTAAAATTTTGTCATTTATGCGGTTTCTTGAAGTGTGAGGTCAGCTGACGTTTAAAAATGTTAGAGATTAAATAAGATTTCTTAATTAACAAATGCCTTATAAAGAGAAATAAAGTAGTAGAGAAATTTAGATGTTGCTGGATTGGGAAGCTTCTGCAGACTAATAAACAGGGATGCATGTAAGGGATTGCAAGAGATTTTCTAAGGATATTCGGCTAATGACATTTATCTGGGTAGTGGAGGCCAAGTTGTAATTTCTGTGGTTCTTGGGGCTTAAAACAGTGTGGCATTAAACTACAAAAGTCATACCTAAGTTCTCTTTTCTCCTCTTTAGAAATAAAATTCGGTCTTCAGTGTGTTTTGCCGGTGCTGTTACATGACAATGACCAAGGAAAATACTGTTGTATAAATACAGCAAAGCCTCTAACAGAAAGTGAGTGAGTGGTGTGAAAAAGACGAATCAGTGGCTAAGTAGGAGATGTCAGGATTTAAAGTAGATAGCTTATGGGTCAAAGCAAGGCAATCAACACATGGATAAATGGCATTTGTGGCTGAAATGGGTGAAAAAAGGTGAATTATTAAATCTGATTTCGAAAGCTATAGGGACAAAAGCTCTGTGTGGCTGCGTTTTATTGTATAATGTCTTTGATTTTTGCTGACAGTGCTAAGGGGAACTAGCCTTTGTAAATCTTATTAGAGTTGGCAGTTCTCTCTCACTTGACTTTAAGAGAAATGAAGACTTGATAAGATTTGTAATTGTTTAAACAGCAAGGAGAGTTAGTTAGGAAGAAAAAAAACTGGTCTTTAGGAGACTTCTGTAGCCTTCACAGGATTAGGAGGAGGGGAAGAAAGAAAGGGCTATTTTGTTGCGCTCTGTCTTCATGTGGGTTTTTGTTTTTCATTATATTTTGGCTTAGGTAATTATAGAAAACTGTGTATTCCATGGCCTATACAGCACTTCAGCTTTAACAGTACATTTCTATGGTTATGAGAGCAGGCTTTACAGTTATGTTTTACAAAATAAAAAAGATAGTTTTTTTCTTCTAGCAAATCTACTTGTGAATCATGAATAATATGCTAGGTAGATATGATAATTTCCATACTGTAATTTGAAGTTGCATACTTTTGCACTGATTAATAGAAACAAATTTTAAAATGAACATTATTTTATGGGAAAATTGTCTTAAGTATCCTAATGCCACTTTAAAATACAGAGAAGGCAATTTAATGAAGGACCCATGAAATATAGCTTCCTTCCTTAAATTAGGAAACAAATATGACACAATGACAGCTTGTACTGTGTGGGAGGGTGTTTTAAATGAAAATTTTTATTTTTCTATGCATTTTTAATGTAGGGATTCAGAGATCATGCATAATCAGGAACAGTTAAGAGTGGAAAAAGTAATTTGTTAAAGAGAAGCAGAATTAGATGTATCTGAAATGCATTTTATTTTGCAAATGGATAGCTCTTTCTATAAGATAAAGAATTTGGAATTACCAAGATGCATAATTGAACAGTGTAGTGCCTGGTACATAGGATAATTCAACTCAGAATAGCAAATCCATTAGGATTCTTCTGAAGCATTGAGTCACTTTGAAAATTTGAACTGAAAATGGAGTGCAAAAGATCACCACGAAACGTAGAAGGAAAACAAAAGATTGGATTCTTTTGAGTATCACAGAATTGGGAGATGGAGTGATAAAGGCAGAGTCAGTCTTCCTAGAAGGATTGGCTCCATTTTGCTTATTTTCCCTATTTCATGTGTGTCAAGTGACTATTGAATAATTAATTGAGAATGGATGATTCTCCCAATACAGATCATGTATTAATGGCTAGGGATAGATGATTTCTATTCAGATGAAATATCAACAAAGCTCTGCCTGTAGCCAGTATGTACATTGTCTGCCATGTTCTTCATAAAAACTAATTTTAAAATAAATAAGTTCACTTCATTAAGAGAAAATTTAGGGAAAAAAACAGACAAGTAAATATTAAACAAATTCAGTTTATCTCTGGTCCAAACTATAATACTTTTAAAATTTTAACACCATTTAACTGCCTTCATGTTTAAAATACAATAAGAACTACTAAAAAGTAAGACTATAATAAGATAATAAAAATATTATCTCTCCCCCAACCTCCAGCCAAGAGTGCCTTGAAACAACTTATGCACCTATGAATTTCCAGAATATTTTTATTGAATGAGCTCAATTTCATCCTGGCTTTGTGTTTGAGCCTAGCAAGTTTTATTTATTTATGTATTGTTAGAGAATCCAGGAAAGGTTATGTGTGATGACCAGGTTAGTGGCAGAACCTGGGTAAGAGCATAAACACTTTTATTTGTTCCCAAGCCCTTTTTCTTGACGTCTGGCAAATAAGATTTCCAGTTCATTCGGGTTGAGATTATTTTCAGGTTCAGGTGTTATATTCAAGGGAAAAAAAAACGTAAAAATGGCTGATAGAACAAAACTAATTTATGCATCACTTATGTTCTTTGACCCTGAGCGTCAGCCTCAGAACTCAACTAAGCAAAAATGTCACCTTTCCTGAGTGATGAATGCTTACAGGGTACATAGCTTTTTTATATTCATTTCATCTAAGTGCCTGGACCGTTGTTATGGTCTCATCTAAATGACCTTGAACATTATTTCTACTTAAGAGCACTCATAGATCCCTAGCAACTTGAAAGAATTAGTGAATTTCATAGCTATCCAGTTTAAAAACAAGAATAACAAGGATAATCAATAAGAAATTAAGTTATAATTCTCATGATTTCCAGATCCCCAGGTCTCGTGCATTTTAGAGTCATGTATATTAAAATCCCACATTGGACTGTTTTCACTTTTTTTTGCATGTTCTCTATTTAAATGGCCATAAACACGTATGGCTTATGCTTCCTGATTGTTTAATGTCACTGAACATGTCAGTATGATACATGTGACTTAAGAAAGCTCCTGCTTTCCATTACTTTGTGAATGTGACCAGATAGGCAACCACATTCACTCATTCATTCATTTGTTCATTCATTCATTTGTTTATTAATTTCTTTATTCAGCAAGTACTGATTGTTTTGTGTACCAGAGTACTAGGCTTAAGCAATAAAATGGTAGTGCAGAAATAATTATTACTTTCATAGACCTCATATTCTAGTGAGAAGGCATATTGACTTTAAAAAAATGAAGCTTAAAACTGTGGTATGTATTTTGAAGGATGGGTGCATGATACTATGAAAACTTAAAATAGTGTCAGCTGACGTAATAAAAAGTGATTATTAAACTGAAATCTGAAAAAGTGAGAAAGAATTAACCAAATTAAGGCAGAGGAAAAGTATTAATCAGGTAAAGCCCAGAGGAACAGAATTCTGATGCAGGAGATGGCACAGCATGTGCCACTGAGAGAATGCCTTAAGCATGGAGCTCTAACTCCCTACTTGAGAGGAGTGGGGTCAGGCAGTGCACAACCTTCTGGACCATGTCAAGTATTTTTGTCTTTACTGTAAAAGTGATAAAATAGTAATGCAAAGAGTGTAGTGTGGATGGTAGGGAGGAAGATGGCATTATCACATTTATATTTCCAAAATGTCACTCTAGCTACAGTGTAGAGAACAGATTGAAAGGGGGCCAGGGAGAAAGAGGAAACATTTTCTGTTTGTCAGTCAACATCATTTGTTAAGCACCCACAGTAAGCTGTAGATTAAACTAGGGGAAAAATACAATTCTTTCTTGAAGGAAGTTAAAGTCATCATGGGTTTGGTTAGGTGTTGAAATGTAAGGCCATTGATTGTTCAGAACACTTTGGTTCTACCTATGAAAAGCATTACCTGAACCCTTTATGTGGATTGTACTGTGGTTTCCTGCAGATACACCCATTGAATTTATGGGTCTTTGGAACCCAGTGGCAGTGCCACACTTTATAGCATACCCCAAGTACAGTGCCATACTTTATAGTATACCCCCAAGTACATGTTCTAGTGACAAAATATATTTGTTGTTTGAATCAACATTGTAACTACTACAATAAAGGAAAATATTTTGTAGGTGCTTGTAATCTTTGTAAGATTGTTTTCATTTAAGTAGTTATTATATAAGTAGATAGTGGTTAAAAATGATTCAGAGATTTTGCCAGAGTTTTGTTTGAAGTCTGCCATTGTAGGAAAAGGTGGATCACCTGTATTGAGAAGGCTCTGAGTCACAGAAACTCATCAATAGTTTTGATCTAGAGGAAGCATTCTGGGAAACTCTTAAAGTATGACAGTGAAAGGCATCTGTTTATTAAAAAGTTTATTTTGACTATGAGGTAATAATAAAAACTGAGTTACTATTCCAAAATGCCACAAATAAAGTCAAATATATTATTTTGAGATTTTGTTTTCCTATTCTGAGATGCAGTTGTAGTGCAGAGGTTAAATTATACAGACTCTTGGGCCAGACTGCCTGGTTTCAAGTGGCAAACTCAAACTTTCTATTCCTCAATTGTGTTATCTGTGAAATTGGGATGAGAATACTGCTTACTTCTTAGTGCTCTTAAGAAAATGAAGCAGGTGACTTCATGTGAATCTCTTAGATTAGTGCCTGGCACATAGTAAGCATTTTGTAAGTGTCCACGTGTTACTTTTGTTACTATTACCTCACTGACTATTTCCACCGACACTATTTTCTTTAGGGGTACTTTCAAGCAAAATTTAAATGTATAGAACTTCTTCTTGTCTAAAAGGAATTTTAGTATAATAATGATCCATTACCTGCCTAAAGTTTCAGTTTATAAAGACAACGAGCCTCTGTTTCTGTTGCATGCAGCTGTGTTCTAATGTTACCCATGTCTAGCTGTTACTCAAAATATGTTAAAAAATCACATTCTGAGAATTTTGTGATTTAGCAAGCACTTAACACAAAAGTATATGTAGAAACTATGCTTTCACTTTCCACATAAACTAATACCTGTATTCCATCCCAATTTTATATTTAAGCAGTGATTTTTACTATATTAATAGCTTATTGAAGATACCATTTACTTTGAAGTTTATAGTACATTGTCTATCAAATAGGAAAAGTTTTAATAGTTTTAGTATAAAAAAGATTTATTGAATTTATAACTTGTCTTTGAGACTCTCTTATACATTAAAGTTATTTACACATATGCTGCAGATAAGATAGGTAATATATTTGGCTTTAAAAGTTCAAGCAAGCTGTTATTTTAGTTATCATAAGTAGGTTATATTTTTCAGCATAAAATTGTGTATATATATATATATGTATACATGTCACTGATATGTTCAGTTTTGGATATCATTAAATGTGAATTAAATTGATTACTAAAAGTATAGTTATCCTGATTGACTATAGAAAGAACTGGCACTGTATAATATTTCTGTCATTCTTAGCTACATTATGAAAACCAGGGCTCTGAGACACATTAGTACCTGAAAATAGTCGTTGACCACATTCTATACTCCTTCCTCAGCTACACTGGTTGCAGAATTAACTCCTATAAATATGTACTGAAAATTAGGCCTTACAATAGATATTCAGGTTTCATTTTATTACAGGGTTAATAAACCTATTAGAAGTTGCTGTGCAAACTGTGCTCTCAAAAAGTATATAAGCTATTTGATGTAATTCAGAATAAATTATTTTTATATTTTTTAAAGTTTTTTGGTTTATTAAAAAACAGTATGCAAAAATCTTATACTTTTTTTGTTGTGTACTTCTCTATAATTTTGTGGCCCAGTTCCTTTTCTTTTATTCATTATTCATAAGTATAGGAATAGGTAAATTTACACGGCCTTTGCTGAATACGTAAATCTTAAAATGTTCTAATTAGCTTTGGAAAACAAAATTTTGGCCAGTTGCTTTAGAGCTGTTCAGAAAATTGCAAGGCTTTTTGTTTTTTCTCCTGAGCATGGATTCCATGTAGTTCTACTTGAATACTGGAATGAGTACCATGCTCTCTCAGATTCCTTTCTTGCCACATGATTATTTGTATTTTGTGTGTAAACAGAACATGGTTTGGAATCTGAAGAACTAAATTCCAGGTGGGACTTTACATCTTAATATATGTTAAAAGTAAAATAACACCATCAATGTTCTGTTTCATTTTCTAAGGTTGCGAATTGGGAAACCACCTAATCAGACTACTAATATATTGTGAACTAATGCCAGCCTACTTCACAGATTGTTTGCGAGTAGATAATAGATACACACTCTTTCAAAGCTTAAAAATTTGTGGGAGATATTAAATGGTAGCAGGTAGATTGCTGTAGGACGTTGTGAATGCTAATAGTATTATAAAAATGTGAATCATATTTCTTTACATCTACTTTGGGGTCATTTTAAATGTATTTTAGATCATTTATGCCCAGAAGTATGCATCAGATTTGGTAGAGTTCTCTTATTATTATGCTTTAAAATATGGATTTTATGACAAGCTAAGTAAAGAGGACATTGTTTCCCTTATTCCGCTTGGGTAAAATTTAAACAAATAAAATAAGTGCTTTAAGGCAGCAATTATATGAGTGCATACGATATAATTCTGTTTATATGAAGTTTAAAACAGATACAACTAATCTATGATGATAGAGGTTGGGATAAAGGTACCTTTTAGTGGTCTTGACTAGAAGAGGACAAAACAATGGAGCATTGGGCATGATATGGGTGGTGGTTACATTTGTAAAGATTCACTGAACTATATACGTAAAATGTATATGCTTTACTGTATGTAAACTCTCCCTCAACTTAAAAAAAAAAACCTTTCAAATTAAAACAGAAATGCTGTTCAGTGAATACCAATGCACTGAATATACAAAAAAGCTTAGTTACAAAGTAATCCTTAATGGAAATCTATATTGAAAAATGTTGAGTATAAAAGTCAAATATTTGTAACATATATCCAAGGAGTATTCCAGAGAGCAGACCTATTTATGAATAATTTTAAAAGTAAGCAGAGAAAGTACTCTGTTTTAAACACTGTATACAGTGTTTGAATTTGAATCATTTTCCACTTTTATGTTCTTTATAATGTTTAGAAATAAAACATAGGTTCTTATTTTACACTTGCATCCACGGAGCACAAATCCTACCAACACAATCAGGCAATGTAAGTTTTCCAATTAGAACAACTCAACTGCTGGAATTGTTAAGTAATTGAATGATGAGTATTTTGTAAGAGTTCAGTAAATACTTGAATGAGTAATTGGATATTGGAAAAGGCATTACCAGGTAGTTCAACCATAACTCTCATAGTATTTTCTAAATCTGCAAATATACATGATTTTCCCCCAAAATATTATACATTAAGTTATTTCAGAAAATGGACTAGATGCCTCTCCTTAAAGGTAAGGTCATAAGCACCTCTTGAAGTTGAGAATAATTTAAAATCATTCTGTTAAAAATCACAGTAGTTTTTATTAAAATTACTATTTAGTGTTTTTCGAGTGAAAGGCATTATGCAGTGTACTTTGTCTACCTTATCTTATATAGTCTTACCATAGTCCTACTTGATAATTTTATAAAATATCGATTTTATCAGTGAGAAAACTGTGAGTTAGAAGAGATCACTTGCTAAAAGTTCAGTAGCTCGTAAATGGCAGAGCTGGGATTTGGGTCCAAGTATGCCCAATACCTTAGCAGGCAGCCCTGTCCATTGTATGACACAACTTGTATATTTCGCTTATCAAAGGGATGCTGGGCTGTTTGTTCACTAGTTTTCAGGTTGGTACTATTTTAAATGGCTGACTTATAATAAAGCATTCAGATTTGAGGGTTGTGGCAGACTCTTACATTTAGTGCTGCTTCCTACTGTCATGATAATAAAGAAAATGGAATAGCTTGTCAGAATTCATCACTCTTTGTTTTCATAACGCTTGTTTATTTGCTTCCTTTGTTAACCTTCTTTTCATATTCTACTTGATGGGTTGATTCTACTCTATCATAACCAGCAGTAAAGCCCCAAAATATTGCAACTAAATAATATTACAACAAATTTTTGTCCTTTTGATGAAAAACTTATTATTTTGGAAAACAAGCAACACAAAGTTTTCATCTCTTTCAGAGTTTGGATGATAAAATTATTGAAAATATCAACCTCTGTGGTGAGTCAGCACAAATATAAAGAACTAGCTCAGTCACATAAATAATGAGAGTTGCTGAGTTAGAGTATGGTTCTGCTGAAAATCTAGATGATGGTACAGTGGGCACTTAATTGAAATGTCGTAATGAGAAGATAGTGCCTCTTTTTGGCTAAGCGTGTTTGGCTTCCCAACACATAGCTTGAAATTGAACTTAGGAGTGGTTCTTAGAGTTGGAAAGATGAATGCCCTGTACTATTTCAGGTATATATGAGAAACTATTATTGGAAAGAAGTGGGAGGAAAATAAGTCTGACCTGGCAAGCCAAAGTGCTGACCTGGCCTCTTGTCTAGTTACTCACGCTCAAAACTGTCTGGACTGTAATTAGAAATGCACTGACACCACACTGCAGGAACAACTGCTACATCAAATAGTGCTTTCTTAGGTTGGTTCCCAGGAGGGATCTGGCAATCCAAAAGTTAAAAGCGGAGCTGCCAAGACGAACAGTTGCTTCACTAATATCCTGACATCAGAAGGGCTTTCTTCATTTAATTATAGACATAATGAATTCTGTGTGGGTTCTAATCCATGATGGAAACACAACTGATGAGAGCTTAGGAGGTACTGTTGTTTGGGACCTCGCAACACCTGGCCCGTATATGGAAACAGCTAGGCTTAAGTGTTACTCAGACATTGCTAGATTCAGCAGAATCCACAGCCCCGTCCAGCGGAGACAAGGAAATTAAAGACTCATGTTTTTTCTTCTAAGTAATGGTGTTCCTCTATAATTAAGCATGCCTGGGCTCTCCTTAGGGAAATAGCTGGCATGGCAGCATATGACTATAGTTGTTGTATGGAAGAAACCACTATACAGCTTAAGCTCTTTAACTTTGGTGAAAAATTGATTTATTTTCCAGCAAATAATGTAATTATTTATTTAAAATTATACGTGATGCTACAAATGTTAAATGTTTAATTTACTGAATTGAAAACATTCTAAATATAGGAAGTTACATATTGTATTTCACTACTCAAAAGCACAGTGAAATGTGTAAGAGTATACATTTATGAATGTCTATTTAAAAAGTTCTGCCAACTTTCTAGGAAATAAGGTAATCCCAGTGCTTTGGGAGTACAAATAGAGTCACTTGAGTCCAAGAGTACCAGACCAGGCGGGACAAAAAAGCGAGACCTCATTTCTAAAAAAAAAAAAAAAAAAAAAAAAAAAAAAAAAAAAGCCAGATGTGGTGGCCATACGTGTATTGTAGTCCCAGCTAGTCAGGAGGCTGAGGTGTGAAGATTGCTTGATCCCAGGAGTTCTAGGAGGCAGTGGGCTATTATTGTGCCACTGCACTCCAGCCTGAGCAACCGAGCAAGACCCTATCTCTTAAAAGAAAAAAAAAAAAAGAATCCCAGAAACCTCTTTTATCAGAAAAGTTAGGGAACCTATACACATATTTGCTTTTGATATTTATTTATTTTTTTAAATTATACTTTAAGTTCCGGGATACACGGGCAGAGCACGTAGGTTTGTTATATAGGTATACACGTGCCATGGTGGTTTGCTGCACCTATCAATCCGTCATCTATATTAGGTATTTCTCCTAATGATATCCCTCCCCTAGACCCCCACCCCCTGACAGGCCCCAGTGTGTGCTGTTCCCCTCCCTGTGTCCATGTGTTCTTATTATTTAACTCCCAATTATTAGTGAGATCATGCAGGGCTTGGTTTTCTGTTCCTGTGTTATTTTGCTGAGAACAATGGTTTCCAGCTTCATCCATGTCCCTGCAAAGGACATGAACTCATCCTTTTTTATGACTGCATAGTATTCCATGGTATATATGTGCCACATTTTCTTTATCCAGTCTATCATTGATGGGCATTTGGGTTGGTTTCAAGTCTTTGCAATTGTGCATAGTGCTGCAATAAACATATATGTGCATGTGTCTTTATAGTAGAATGATTTATAATCCTTTGGGTATATACCCAGTAATGAGATTGCTGGGTCAAATGGTACCTCTGTTTCTAGATCCTTGAGAAATCACCACACTGTCTTCTACAATGGCTGAACTAATTTAAACTCCCACCAAAGGTGTAAAAGCGTTTCTTTTTCTCCACATCCTCTCCAGCATCTGTTGTTTCCTGACTTTTTAATGATCGTCATTCTAACTGCTATGACATGGTATCTCATTGTGGTTTTGATTTGCATTTCTCTAATGACCAGTGATGATGAGCTATTTTTCACATATTTGTTGGCTACATATATGTCTTCTTTTGAAAAGTGTCTGTTCATATCCTTCACTCACTTCTTGATGGGGTTGTTTTGTTCTTGTAAGTTTGTTTAAGTTCCTTATAGATTCTGGATATTAGCCCTTTGTCAGATGGATAGATTTCAAAAATTTTCTCCCATTCTGCAGGTTGCCTGTCACTCTGATGGTAGTTTGTTTTGCTGTGCAGAACCTCTTTAGTTTAATTAGACCCCATATGTCAATTTTGGCTTTTGTTGCCATTGCTTTTGGTGTTTTAGTCATGAAATCTTTGCCCATGTCTGTGTCCTGAATGATATTGTCTAGGTTTTCTTCAAGGATCTTTATGGTTTATTAAATAGGGAATCCTTTCCCCATTGCTTGTTTTTGTCAGGTTTGTCAAAGATCAGA
The DNA here is from genome assembly GCF_000001405.40 of Homo sapiens. Classification (NCBI taxonomy): domain Eukaryota; kingdom Metazoa; phylum Chordata; class Mammalia; order Primates; family Hominidae; genus Homo; species Homo sapiens. The sequence continues at coordinate 51,016,082 of NC_000002.12, read as the reverse complement.
TGGTTGTAGATGTGTGGCATTATTTCTGAGGTCTCTGTTCTGTTCCATTGGTCTATATATCTGTTTTGGTACCAGTACCATGCTGTTTTGTTTACTGTAGCTTTGTAGTATAGTTTGAAGTCAGGTAGCTTGATGCCTCCAGCTTTGTTCTTTTTGCTTGGGATTTTCTTGGCTGTACGGGCTCTGTTTTGGTTCCATATGAAATTTAAAGTAGTTTTTTTCAAATGGTAACTTGTAAGTTTAAAAACGTGCTCCATTTTTCAGTTAATATCATTACATATATTTTATAATATATTAGACATTCATTTTCTTTTCCTCTGTCCTGTTCACCCTTTATTTAAGTTAAAAATGGTTGGATTAAAATATGTCTTTCTTCTATCACAATGTATTTTTTGACTTCAAATGATATTTAAATATTTTTTTTTCACTTGAAGTTTATCCATTGTTATTCTATGACTCTATATATTGATTTCCTTCATAAAAGTACAGACATAGGTAGAGCTTCAGGAGTTAGAATAAATCTTCTGGGAATGGTGCTCCTCTCCTGCTGTTAGCTGGGAGCTGTTCATGTTCCCAGAGGTTCTTGGCAATAAAGAAGAATGATGGGCACCTTCCTTCTCCTCGACCCAAGACATTATCCATCCTGGACAAAATCCTTATTTGTATCCTAAACAGAGACAATAACAATTTGAACTGGAGCCAAATACACAATTCTGAGTGTCTTCTGCCCATAGGAGGTGGAGGATGGAAAGATGCTCAAGCCTCAGGGAAGCTGGGAAGCTTGAGCTGTTTGATAATTTAGAAAATGAGACAGAAGACCAGAAGAGAGGAACAGGAGATAGGAGAAAAGATGATGGGAGAGAAAAAGAGTATTTGTGATTAAAGTAAATTGAGAGAGAGAGACAGACAGACACAGAGAAGAGTTAACAGAATTTGAAACAATGAGGACATTGAGAACTGTTGGTTTAAAATTTAAAAAATCACACATCTGGTTAGTAGAAGACAGGACAGGAACATACATTGCTTGACTTCTGGCTCTGGGCTTAAGCCAAAAAGGGAAATAGGAAGGAAAAGACAAGAATAAATACGTAATTGTCTACATTTAACCTACAGAAAATATAATCATTCTTTGTCTCTAGCTGTCATTTCTGGCAGTGTATCATTGGAATTTTTCCTGCCAACTGACAACATCAACAACAATAGCAAAATCTTAAATGGCTCTCACAGTGTGTCAGGCACTATTTTCAGCTCTTTGTGCTATTAATTCATTTGGTCTACTCTACAACCCTAAAAAGTAGGTGACTTTTTTCTCATTTGATAGGTGAGAAAATTAAGGCCCAGAAAGATTTTTAAAATTTTCCCCAATTCACGCACTAGAAATTCACAAACCTGACATTTGAATCATAGCTGCGTAAATCCTGAGGCCAGACTCTTCACTTGTAATTCCTTCTTTTTTATTTATAAAATAATAACTAACTGTATATCCTCCACACCCTTTCACATAGGATAATCTCTCCTGTGTTTCAAAGAAGTCTGTATAAGCTAATGCAATGTCATATTTTTTCTCTTTTTCAAAATTCCATTTAACTGTTTAATAACTTTTCCTGAGCAGAAAATTTCTCCCTTAAGTTTAATGAATATCCTTTCTCTGCTGACATAAATTAATTTTTTTATGTCTTCAGTGGAAATAAAATCCATATGGTTAGCATCCTCTTCAATTATCTTTATCTGCCTAAGAGAAAGAGTGCTGTCTTCACTGAGCTAAAAATGTTCCAATCCTCGTTCTTTGCAACTGGTCTGACATTCAGCCTCCTTCCTCTAATAGCCCCCGCTCTGTTTATTTTACCCACTATCACTTCAGCTGGCTAATGCTCTTCCAAAGGCTAGTTCCAAAAATGTGTTACAGTCATCCTGGTCTGTTCATCCCAGCAGCAGCATCACTGCACTTTCAGTGACCCCCTCACCTTCCCTGTTGCCTTTGTCTGACTTGCTAATTTCCCATCATGCCTTGGAAATTGCATGGACAAGAACTTCATAAAATTCTTGATAGGTTTTTGTTATCTAGTGGCTTAAAAAATGTCTCTCACTAGTGTCTGTAGATCAGGCAGTCCAGAATTGTATAAAGGGAAAAATCTTGATAGCATTGCATTTGTAAGCAGGAAAAGTAGGACAGAAAAATATGAGCTGACAAACAGAAAAAAGAATTTGGACTAAGGAAAACTGGCAGTGGTAGTCTGGTCCACAGAGGACTAAACAATGGAAATGGATTTGAACAAAATTGTGCTGGTTTAGGCCGAAGGAAAGAGAAAACAGCATTCACTTGTAATTCTAGTATAAATGTGAGAACAGGTCAGCAGAAGTGGTGGGTGAATCTGTATCACTAGAGATCCTTAGTAGCTTAAATAGACAACTGCTAGTTTTAAATTGCTTAAGGTTCCTCTTTTTCTGGTCAGCAGCCTGGACTAAGTAACATTTGAAATATATTTTCAGTTCTGTAGTTATGTAAATAATTGGACTTTTCTGAAAGCCTTTTAACGTGCAAATCTCCCAAGTCCTGAGTTGGAAAAAGCCCAAAACAAATACTCTCCCCTCCCCCTACAAAACCTAATTTCTGCCAAAAAAAAAAAACAACTCTATTTCAAGAGTGTCTGAAGTTATAATTCACAGATACATTTGCATAAAATATGTCACCAACTGTTACAGAACACTTGGCCCATGAATTACTTCCCCCAGTGACTTGACTTGCTGTTGTTGCACATTGGTGTCCCTGGAATACACTCTGGGCAGGCTCTCCACCCACATGCTTATGTTTGCCCTGAGCCAGCTGCCCTTGTCCTCTTTACACAGTGGATTGCCCCAGTTTCATGTTTCCTTAAACGTTGTTGAGCTGGTTGAGCTCGAGTTACAGCCGCTGCCTGTATTGCAGACTCACCTTGCACTTCCTCTTGTTTGCTTTGCCATCTCCAGGGTATCCTCCCAGTACTGACTCTACCTCCACCAGGTGTGATGTTCTTGCCCTGCTGCATAACCACAGAATATTCGAGTGGTGTCTCTTACATCTCAGTCCGTTTATATCCTATGTAATTGTTCTTCCTCTGTGAAATACAGCTTTGGGTGAAAGGGTCTTTGGTAGTACTGGTATGAATTGTTCCTGGAGGAGGATGAGATTAGAGGGCAGAAAAATAGTTTTGGGTTAAAAACAAAACAAAGAAAACAAAAACCAGAGAAAAAAAATTATAGTACTCACAAAATGAAAAACATGCATTTCTGGGTATTCTGTCATGTTTTTGGTTTCCCAGGAAAGCCAGTTACACAAACCAGAAATCTAGCCTCATCTTTGACCCCTCTGTTGTTTTTCTCCATTCATAATTCCTGAACCACATATTAAGAAGCCATCACACAGGAGGAGGTGAGATGTTAGGTCTTAGGCAGTGTTCACCTCTGTGCTCTCAAGCCCTTGAGGACTAAACGTTTGACAGCACAAATAAAGGGCTTGAAACCTAAATACAAGTCTAAACAATTCAGGCATCCAAATACGAATAAAACTCACTATTAATTATAGTATATGAAGATCTGTAATAAGGTACACATGTGTGCTACTGGTGATATTGTTAATGATATCCTCAGTTGAAGCAAAAATTAGCAGGTTTACTTTTTGAAAATGCAAGTCCAATGGTATACCTAAAAGAGTGAAAAACATATGGCTCCTTTTACAAATTATAGTTAATGGATTGCTTCACACTCTTAATTAAGTCACCATCATTTCAAATTACTGTAATCACTGGATTCTTCCATATCAAAATAAAACAGTTTGCACTAAGGCATTAGAATGTTATAGAGGCTAAGTTTTTTTAAAAAAAGACTTTAGATTAATAAATACTGAGTTTGTTGCAGCATAAAATGTGAACACAAGGAAAGTGAGGAAACCTGAAAGTTTATTTTTTGGTGAAACAACGTTTTGGTCAACTACAGGTCTAAGAGTTGGAAAGCGTCACATTTTAGTGGGGTGGGCTGGTAGACAACATGCATGATTTCATTACAATGCAATAAATGCTGCCACAGAGATGAATATCCAGTGTGACTAGTTGTAGAAAGATGAAAGGATTAATCACATGCTTTCTGTGACCAAGTTCTCTTGATTCTATTGATATTATGCTATTTTAGGCTCTCATACTCCCTCATCAGGATTGCTGCTATAGTCTACTTACCACTTTCCCAATCTCAGGCATTGCTCCTTTTGTCCCCTTTCAAAGCCATTTGTCTCTACTACTGGAGTGATCCTTTATAAATAGTACTGCTCCTTTGGCTGAAAGATAAAATACAGATTCTCAAGAATGGCAGGCAAGCACTTGTATATAAATTGGTCTCCTTATCCAGACTCATTTCTTACCATTTTCTTTCAACAGAAACTTTGTGATCTAAGCCAGTCATTATTTATATTCTGAATAATAATTGTGTTCACATGTCTTGGGGTTCTTTCTAGTGTTACTCTCTCTGGACCTAGTGCCTTCCATTGAATCTCTACTGAGTGAAATTTCACCCATCATTTAAAACCCATCTGTAAGGTCTCCTTCTCTGTGAAATCATCCCTGATACCCTCTTCCTGCTCACCCCTGGTTCTCCAGCAGGGACAATGCTGGCTTTGTGTAGACCCTTATTCTTATGCTGAACACATTTTATTATAGTAATTTATCATCCCATCTGATTTCTTCACTTGATTCTAAGTCCCCAGGGGAGCACTTACACCTTTTATATACGTAAGAGCTACCAGAGTCTGGCCCACTGTAGGAGTTCAATAAACGTTAGTGGGTCTCACTGCAAGATATTAAGAAGAGAATATTGTCGGTAATGGTCAAACAAAACAAGTAGGCAATTTCTTAAAAGAGAATATCAAATAGCTAGTAAATGTATAAAAAGAAGCTTGACCTCAATAATAAGTAAAGACGTGAATTAAAATGAAGTATATGATTTATTGTTTAGCTTGTTGAAAATATTAAAAAGCGCCATCAGGCTGGGCAGGGTGGCTCATTCCTGTAATCTCAGCACTTTGGGAGGCTGAAGTGAGAGAATTGTTTGAGGCCAGGAGTTTGAGACCAGCCCAGGCAAAAAGCGCGATACAAAAACATTTTTAAAAATTAGCCAGATGTTGTGGCATACACCTGTAGTTCCTGCTATTTTTGAGGCTGAGGTAGATTGCTTGAGGCTGGGAGTTAGAGGTTGCAGTGAACTGTGATTGTGCCACTGTCCTCTAGCCTGGGTGGCAAAGCAAGACCAAAAAAAAAAAAAGCACAGAAAAGACCATCATACCCAGTTTTGGCCGAAAGGTGTGGCAACGTAGACACTCTTATGCTCTTGTGCATCTTTGGATGGAGTGTGTATTATTATAGTTCTTTTGAGAGGCAGTTTAACAGTAACTATGAAAATGTAAATGTGTATTTCCTTTAACAGTTTCATCTCTAGGAACTTTGGTTTTAAACAGAAATACCTGAACAAGCCTCACAAATATATTAGCACTGGTACTCATTGCATGTTGTCTGTAATAGTGAAAACAAGTAAATGGAGTCAAATCCAAATGTTTATTAACATGGATTTGATTAAATAAATTATGGTAGAGCTGTGTATAATGACTCACAATATAACATGAATGAGGTGTGTTTTGTGAACTGGTATGGAAGTTTGTTAAAAATACGTTTAGCGAGTATAAATAAATGTCAAATACATACACATATATGCAAAATAGAATTTATATACTTATTTATGTATAAAAAGGCACATAACCTGTAAAGACCAGGTGTTTTGCTGTTTTCAGTGAAGAGGGTAAAGAAAAAACATATTTAAATTGTTGAAGGATAAATATTTATAAGTGCAAGAGCAGATTATCAAAGGAAGTTGGTGACTCTCCATCTTGAGGGATTATCTATGAGATGTTTGAAATGTCAAACCAATAGTCCATTTCAGAAGATGAGACCCATTATATGACTTTCCAGGGATTTATGTTATCCTTGGTTGAACATTCTGTCTTAAACGTAGTAGAATGTTTATATTGTCAGAAGAGAATACCACAGTAACCTTGCAGAATATATTCTGAACACACACTGTAAAAGAGAGAAATATAGGATTTAAAGTTTGTATAATTCTAAGGATTTTTTTTTTAACTTGGTCTCGTGTGTCAGATTGAATAATTCTCCTGGTAATGAAGTAATGAATGAAGGGATCCTAACAAGATGCAGGGTCCAGAACCAGATGTAACGTTTCTCCTCAGCAGAGTGATTTGTGTTAATGTTTTATTTACACTTTTTCCGGTTGTTATCCATCTCTGTCACCATAGAAGAGATATGGCTGAATAGGCCAGTGTTGTGTCTCAAATTGGTTTCATAGTAAGGTATATTATCATTCTTTCAATGCCTCCTTTCGCTAATGAAAATCCTAGAAACATCTGAGAAGTTCCAAATGACTCACAACTTTCCTGCTCTACTTCATACACATGTATGTTATCAATAATTACTTAGTAGACTCTTTAATTTGTCTAAATTTGTGCAGGCATAATGGAACTTGACAATGCAATTTTCCATTGCAAATGGATGACTAAGCTGAGCAATTTGCCTCCTTCCCATTCCTTTTGTCCCGATATATTATGCTACACTAGAATGCCTATACTTTGAAAATAGCCCGTCTATATTCATTCATCGATGCATATAAATTGATTTGCATGCTCATTTTGCAGTTTCCAAATATGCATTTGTTGCATAAAATTTTTCATATCTAACCCAAAATGCTTATTTTACCCCTTCTTCAAAAATGCAGCTGGTGTGAGCCAACTACACATAAACTCCAGGTGTTTCACAACTGAATATCTATAGAGAAATGCAGAAAGCATGGAGATGAAAGGCTTGAATCTTGCCATTGGTCTGAAGTCCCAACTCAGATCTTCCTCTTCTGGATCAGCTCCTTGAAATTAGGGCAATATTGGAGTTAAGTAACAAGAGTTTATTCAGACTATCCATGTTATATGCCAACTCATGATTTATGTGGAAACTAAAGATATTTAGTAGAATAGTACATTGCTGGGTTCTAATTTTTGCCTTTCCACAAATTAGTTATACTTTGTTTTCATTGACTCTACAGCTCAGATTTTTGTTTCATTTACTGTATGTCTCAGATTTTTCCAGTTTAAGAAAAAATTGCCTAAAACTAAAAAAAAATGTGATTTGTCCTACCAAATAACCTTAATATTATCACGAAATTAAAAGCAGTCTATAAAAAATAGAAGTATATGACTACAAGTTTTATAAAAACATTCCAAGAAAACATTTGTGGCTATTAATTTGTAAATTATAAATTTATATTTATATATATTTACAAAGAGCTAAAATGTTATGTTAGGAAATTATTATATTGATGCTTTTAGTATCTTTGAGTATATTTTATACACAATTAAAATGATGTATTATAAGAAATACAATTAATAAATACGTTTTCAAGATGCCCTGTATAGATAGTAATGGGCAAGAGAGGAAAGGAATTGATGTGTAATGATTGTATGCCATACCCTGCAGTGATCAACTTTGTGATTATTATCTCACTTAATTCTCAAAAACACAAACCAAATTTAATTATTTTCATTTTGTATTTAGGAAAACAAATTCCTGGAAAAATCTAAATAGCAAGGAGAAAATTTGAACCCAAGCTTTATTTGTCTCTACACGTCATGCTTTCTCATCTGCCTTCACCATCGCCACTCACAGCTTCAGAATAGCTCAGGCAGGTTCTATGGAGTCATATACACAAAGGATCAAAAGTAAACCCCTTCTTTTTAGATAGTATAATAGCATTTGAGCTACTCTCTGACTCTCTTCTTTGTTTGATTTGGAGCACTGCTTGGGTTTAATTGATTTGACATTTGTATTTTTCTTTATAACTGATCTCTTTTATTTATGTGTGAATGTATTTCCCAACCAAATGATACATTGCCAGCAACAATCAAAGAGCAACCTCTAGATATAGTTTCCAGAATTTTATAGGAAGACTGTAGGCAAATCTCAGCATACAAAACAGGTTTATTGTTTTCTACTATTATTTTCTTTATTTGATTATTTGTGTGCTTCTCGTTTATTTATTTTCCTTCTATTCTGTGCAAGATTAATTTTTCTTTCCACTGTTATTTCCTTTCTTAGGATTTTATCACTTTATGACTTTTTCATCATATTTTGGCTTTTTGATAATAAAATATTCAAACAATATACCTAAGATGAAAACTTTTGAAATGAAGGGAATATTCCAGATAATTATTTGCTGTTGTCTACAGACTGTTACTCTATGTATTTGTCCACAATTTAGCTAAATATCTTTGGTGATAATATTTTATCTCAGGATTTACTCAGTTTAAGAAAGAAACATTCATGTAAAAGTGCATCCCATAAAAATGTGTATTTAACCTGTCTAACTCTTTTATCCTTTATCAAAAACTATCCAATCAATAATTTCTCAAATCTGCTTCATTTAAAAATAGAAAAATAATATATAAAACACACACACACAAAAGGTAAAAGTACGTTTTGATGTGTATAATGGTTATGTGCTTATTATGCACAATTTTCCTAAACCCCTAACACTTCGAGTAACTTATGTTAACATTGTTTTCATAAGTAACTCATAAGGAAAGTATGTAAATAGTTTCTATATTGTATCACCAAAATTTTGTAAATAATTCAGAAATTGTCATAGGCACACATATTTTTAACCCTCTTAGATTTCAGGACTTCCAAATAAGTATTGTATCAATTTTTCTTTGGACAATAATTTTTTTTGAATACCCTTTCTGTATTTCAGAAATGGTTCAGAAAATGCTCATTAATCTTCTGATAATTATCTGAAAAACATGTCCAATTGCATATGGAAACAAAGTAATTTGTTACAAAATAGAATTTTGAAATAAAAAGAGACGAAGAGTTATAGCTCATTATAGTATCTAATGTTGTAATTTATGCACTAGAGAAAAATGTTTAACATTTATGACTTTTAAGTAATACGTAAAGTCATTGAGCTTAGGCACTGGGGTTATGTTTGTCATCAGATAGGCAGGTCACTGCTCTATTGGTGTTCATAGATTATAGGTGAATATAGACATTTAGAAGGTCAGCCACGATACAGAGTGATGAACAGTAATGATAGGGCACAAGCAACTCAGATTTGGGAGGTAGAGGAGGCTTCCTAGAGGATAAGACAGCTAAGGCGAAACTTGAATATGAATAGGAATTAGAGCTAAGGGAACATAGGGAGAAGAGGGTAGAGCAAGCAAAAAGACACTTACTCATTTGAAGAACTACAAATAACTTAGAATTTGTAGTGCACAGAGGCAAGATGTTGAAAAGTGGTTAAACAGGCTGGAAACTAAGCTTTGTAAACCTTGTAACTATATTAAGGGGCAAGGAGCTTACCTTTTGAGTATGTGGTGTACTTAGAAAAATAGAGAGTAACAGAAGGTTATTATAAGACTATAGTTGCTCAAATGGTAGGTCTTTTTTTTTAAATTTTATTATTATACTTTAAGTTTTAGGGTACATGTGCACAACGTGCAGGTTTGTTACATATACATACATGTGCCACGTTGGTGTGCTGCACCCATTAACTTGTCATTTAGCATTAGGTATATATCCTAATGCTATCCCTCCCCCCTTCCCCCACCCCACAACAGTCCCCGGTATGTGATGTTCCCCTTCCTGTGTCCATGTGTTCTCATTGTTCAATTCCCACCTATGAGTGAGAACATGCTGTGTTTGGTTTTTTGTCCTTGCGATAGTTTACTGAGAATGATGGTTTCCAGCTTCATCCATGTCCCTACAAAGGACATGAACTCATCATTTTTTATGGCTGCATAGGTAGGTCTTAAATGGAAAGGAAATTGGAAATAAATAGCTGCGGACCCACGTGAGACAACTACACAGGTTCTTATAAGAAATGTCAATGACTGGCAATAGATTTATACACGTTTTGAAGATTGCTAGCTTCTATCATACCGAGAAATCCAAGAAAAAATGTAGATTTGTCTCTTTTTACAGCTTTTGACCTAAAGTCTGTTTTGTCTGATGTAAGTATGACTGCCCCTGCTTGCTTTTGGTTTTTATTTGCCTGAAATATCTTTTGTCTTCTCTTCACTTTCAGTCTATGTGTGTATTTGCAGATAAGATGGGTTTCTTGTAGGCAACATATATTTGGGTCATTTTTGTTTTAATCCACTCAGCCAGTCTGTATCTTTTCAAGGGGGAATTAAATCCATTTAGATTGAAGGTTACTACTGATAGGTGGAGATTTATTCCTGTAATTTTACTGATTGTTTTATGGTTATTTTGTATTTCCTTTGTTCTTTACTTCCTCTCTTATGGTTTATTTTTGCAATTGGGTGATTCTCTATAGTGATAAGATTTTATTCCTTTTTCTTTCTCCTTTGTGTATTGACACTACCAGTGAGTTTTATAGTCTTGCATGTTTTCATGTTGGTAATTATTGTCTTTTCACTTCCATATGTGAGACTTTCTTAAACATTTCTTGCAAGGCCATTCTCATGGTGATGAATCCCCTTATTTCTTGCTTATCTGTTAAATATTTTATTTCTTTTTCATTTTTGAAGGATAGCTTTTCTGTGTGTAATACTGAATGTTCCCAGCACAAAGAAATGATAAGGTTTGAACTGATGGATATGCTGATCACATTGAGCTCATCATTGTACATAAAACATATAGAAATATCAGTATATATCTCATAAGTATTTGCAATTATTATATGTCAATTCAAAAATGAGTTTAAAAATGTGTAGATTTTTTTCTTGGGAAGTAAGAATAGGCATTATAACTGAGTAATCAGGGTAAAGGTAAACTAATTGTCAACTTGGAATAAAGAAGATGAGGAATAAAAGAGGGAGAGTTACCAGAGGAATATCCAGAGAAAGATGTAGGTTATAGATCCAGTTAAAAGAGTAATCAGAGGAAATCAAGAGTTGCAGAAACAAAGAAATCACAAGAAAAATGTGACTATTTTAAAAAATAGCTAGATACAGGTGTGTATCTATATGTAGTAGATATGTATGTAGATATAGGCATGCATATTATAGTGACTATCCAGTATGTTCCATCTTATGCGGTAAGGTTCATTCATTAAGTTTTACTATAGTCTAAAATTAATATTTCTTAGGACTTTTTTCATTCCTTTGATCTATTTCAGTGCTTACTAAGCACACTTTTCTTTCTATTTCAAACTTAGCAGTAACCTTGGCACAAGAAAATTCTCCTCTAGATGGAGAAGTGGTCTCCCAGTACTGGGCATTCCCCTCCTTGAAAAATAATACATTTGCATAACATTTATAGGTGAGAGGGAAAATACCAGAATCATACCCCCGAGTCCCTTTTGAGCAAATGTTTGTTTATTTGTTTATTTATTTATTTTTGAGACGGAGTCTTGGTGTGTCGTCCAGGCAGGACTGTAGTGACATGATCTCGGCTCACTGCATCCTCTGCCTCCCAGGTTCAAGCGATTCTCCTGTCTCAGCCTCCTACAAATGCTTATTTATAAAACCACGTACTTTAAAGTTACTTCCATAAAGCCTAGTTTTCTGAAATGGTCATAACTTTTTAATTATTCATTTTTTTCTGTGTAATAAAATTTCAGCTAGGCTGATGACTTATCCAAACAAAATATTGTCAAAAGGGAGAAATAAGGGAATGAGAAGTAACCAAAAACAGAAATGGCACTTACTGAAAGCAAATACTTTATGTATTGGCTGCTATAACTGTTTTAGGCTCTGCACATTTTCTTTATTTTCTCACCCAGAATCTGTTTATTCAGGTTGCCCTTTGTCATGAATTTAAAATTTTATTCATGGCAGGTGTGTGAGCAGTAGTTTGCTTAGTATCTGTCCAGCATCTGTGAAAGGGTTGGCTAGACCCCAAACTTGGGGTTGTTAGTTCACCTCCGGAAACCTGGATATATGGTTCAATGTCTTCTAAGTTTTTTTTTTTTTCCCCCACCACCACACAAGCAAACAACAACAACAATAACAAAAAACAGGAAGTGAGGGTACATCCAGGATAAAGAGCGAAGGCATTCTGGGAGGAAAGGGATTAGTAAAACCGGTTTTCTGCAGGTCTATGAAAAGAGAGCCTTAATGTGCTAAAAAGATGACAGTTAAAATGGTAAGTAGAAAATAATCAGTATCAGCCAGGGCAACTTTATTCACAAGCTGAAACTTCAGAGTAGTGGTGATTCATTTCTGTAACTCACTTCTTGTTTGGTAACAGTTTAAAATGCAATTAGTCAACTTTTCCTTCCTCCCCCTCTCCTTTGCTTCCTTCTTTGTCCTTCCTTGTGGCAGAAATATGTTACTATTGTGTGTACAAGCAGGATATATTGTCATATGTACCAGGAGTCAGAGGCAAATAAGCTACATACATGTAGTGCATCTAGTTTATCTGATTATCTTTTGCCCAGTCTGCCTTTTTTCAATTAGAATTTCTTTCATGTCTTACACAGTTACTCCAAATTCCATGTGGAAGTAGACTACAACTAAATAAATCAAATTTTTAGATAGGATATTTTGATGATTAAATGTGATATTAATTTTTGGAAAGGAGGTTTCAATAAAAGGTTTAATAGGCACCATAATTTATCTCTAGTCATTTCTTCTCATCCTGGAATATTTAGTAATTAGAATCGTATGTGAAAATGACCTGAAACAATGCTCTCAATGTTGTATATTCCTTACGTTCGTTTTTATTATGCTACAGGGTAAATAAGTGAATGTATTTCAGTTAGAAATCTCTCATTACTTTATTGGTGCCCCTAACTGGTCCACTGGTTGATAACAATAATTTTACTTTGATAAATCATTATTATTTAGGAATCAGTAGTTCCTCCAAGACTTTCTATGCTTATTTGTTTTTGTTACCTTATGAGGGCTGCATAGAAGATGCTCAAATGAGTAGAATTTTAGGATATTCTTGGATAGTAATAAGTTAAGTGTTTCCTCCTATTTCTCCTCCTTTTTCAAGATCATTAAATTCACCAGTTCTTTCAGTTGGAAGAGTCTGTCCATAAATGCTTGAACATAGAATTAATTTGTCATAAGCTCAGGAAGAATATATGAAGAAATGAAAATACCTTTGAAAATGTTTAAATTACTTAATCCATAGAATTTTAGAGTTAGAAGAAATCTTAAAGAGTATCTACTGCAGCCACTTCTTATTAGAGATGAACAGAGAAAGAAAACAGTTTGAAAAAGTCACCCTATTAGTTTCATAGCCAGGACAAGAACACAGCCACCATATAATTTCCGTCATTCCATTTTTAAGTAGCAAAGAAAATAACACTTCAAAAATTGTATTTTGTCATCTTGCATGTATGATGTAATATTTCTGATGATGTGTCTCCTTTTGTTTTCATTCGGTTATATTTACAGAGAATTTTTTCCCTTGCCTGTCCTGATGGGGGAACTTCCTTCCTAGGTACATAGAGGATACTTTCAGACTCATAACTAAGCTCTTTATATGCACTGGAAAATAAATGTGTGTTTCTTACGGAAAGTCATTTTAACAAATTCATTATTATATGAATCGTTTTGTGTTTTGGAACACAGAAGCAATGGTACACTATAGCAAATAAATCAAAACTCTCACAATATTGAATAAGATTCTGTTTTCTACGAAAGCATGTCATTTGATGAAGAGAGCACTTTCCTAGAAACACAACATTTTATTAGTGCTTCTGGTTGTGTCATAAAGTAGTTTTTAGTGTATTGTGTCAGAGAACACTTAGGAAATATCTTTATAGGAGGGGAAAAATACCTTTCCCTCACCCATTCTGGGTTCATGGTTGAAGTTCCTATAACAAAATAGCTAATAAACAAGAGAAAAGCATACAAGGTATTTCATATACGTTTTACTTGACATGGAGGCCTTTGTAAGGAAGTGAAGACCTGAAAAAATAGTTAAACCTGTGTATTTTGTGCTAGGTTTGATGAAGAGTGGACAGTTGTACAAAAGTATGAATGGACAAATTTGGTATGATTTAATTGTAATAAATTAGGGAAACTTATCAGGGTGTTTGTTTAGATTCTTCTGTGTGACCCTTCTTCAGAGACAAGGATGTTCCTTTCCTCCCAATATAGGGAGGGTATCTTTCACCTGAATATCTTATGACCTGCTTCAGGAGAAGGTCAGAAAATCTTTCCTATGTTTTGTGATGTGCTTCAGGAGTGAAAGGCAGAAGAGGATGAGAGTGACCTTCCTGCTTCTGCAGTTTTCAGCATGCCAAACTGTTATATTTGGGGATATTATATCCTGAACCCCATCATCAAACTAAAATTTTATTTTTCCTATCAAGAATGAAATGAGACAGTTGCTGATATTTTTTAAAATAGCGTGAATTGTGGGAATTTTATTTTTTATAATGTTTACTGTGCCTACATTTTAATAAAATGAAATTCAAATGCTCTGTCTGAGAGTATTATTTTAAAAGGTGGAAAAATGTATGCTTAATTGATCTCCCTTTAGGGGAGCTCAGTAAAACTGGTGTAGGAGATCAAAGCCTAAGTGATTCATTTATTACAATTTTAATAAATGTGTGGATCTTTTTTTTAAGTACAGTATAGTGCAATAATGAAATTAACTTTGCAGATAAAAGACTTGCAGATGCACTTTTATCAAATTGCTGTTTTGGAAAGGCACCAACAAACTGATGTTCTGAGTACGATTTTTTGCTCTGGCTTGCTTTTGAACTCTTGCTTAATAAAATTCTAGAAACACAATTGCCTTTTCTAGGAAAATGACTTGTCCTCCCCTGACAAACGCCCCCCCCCCCCAACCCCATGAATCTACCATTGTACGTATGTGGTTGGAACCATATGGAGGCAGTAAACTCGATTTGAGCTTTACTGTGTTTACTACACAAAGCATTCCATTCAGGCCTGAAGATATGCTAAAACAAAACACAAAAATCTATTCATTCACCAAATGGGGAAAGGCATTCTAATTCTCTTTAGCCTTCACCACACTTTCCTATGTTCTTTTGTTGTAAGCTCTTACATCCTTACAAGTCTCAACTCCAGCGCTTTATGCCCTACTTTCAAATTATAATTTGTTCCTGGTCTGACAAGGGTCAGAAACCAGGCATGTGTCTGACATGGAAACAGAAAAGTGGAGGAGTAGTTAAGTAGTGTTCACTCTATATTTTCTGTGTCATTTCTCATCTTTTGTAAATGATCTTCATGTATAGGTTTTAATTTTTATTGGAAATTAACAAAGCAGATTATTAATTTTAAAATATTAATTTACGGAATTAAGGTATATTGTTCCCCAAAATATTTCATTTGTAATATTAAAATTAAAGAAATTGAGAAATTAAAAAAAATCAAAACATCTGTCTCTGTTATTTCTACTTCTTCACTTTTTAAATCCTCTGCTAGTCATCTAATCCTCAATCATGAGCCCTGTTTCCTAAATTATTTTATCTCTTTCCAAAAATTGTTTCATTATTTTTTACCTGTTTTTTTTGGTAATAGTAATAATATTAGCAATTTCATATAAGAATCAAATGAAATAATCCATTATTTCAAAAAATGTGTTCTTGGATTTTGCTACATGGTTAGTACTGTTATAGGTGCTGAGGATAGAGCCTTGTATAGTGGAAGCCCTGTTTGTATGGATATATTCAGGTGGGAAGGCAGATAATAAAGAAATCAATAGGAGTGTTATGTATAATGTAATTGATGTTCAGAAAATGGCAAGCTCTATAAAGAAAATTTAAGCAGGATAAGGACATAGAGAATGGATAAGGGCGGTTACTATTTCAGCGAGGGTGAACACATTCAGTCTTCTGAGAAGCTGACATTTGAGCAAACACAACAAAGAAACATGCAGCTCTGAGCGAGAATACTCCATGTGAGTGAAACAGGCCTGAAGTGGAGGTGTGCTTGAAAACCCCAGTGGGAGCCTGGAGTAGTTGAACACACTGAGCAAAGCAGAGATTGAGAGATAGATGGGCACGGTAATTGAAGGCCAGATTTTATAGAACTTGACAGACCACAACATGAACTTCCTATTTTATTCTAAATTCAACAGAAAATCATTTGTATTTGAAAAGTATCTGAAAAATAGGAATATGATTCTGTTTCATTCGTCATAGAGAGAATAGCTTACAGATGCACAAGAGAGGCAGTAGAGTAACCTTTGTATGACCAGATGTGATGATGGACTAGGGTGGTAGTGGAGGAAATGGGAAAACTGGTTAATGTTAGCACATACTTTGAATGCAAAGCTGGCAGGATTTAATGATGGTTTTACCATAGAGTGGAAATGGAAGAAAAGAGTCAGAGATGGCTCCAAAATGTTTGACCTGAGTTACTGGGTGGCTGGAGAGGTCATTCCCTATCAGTCGAAATTCACCCCCGATATTTCACGTAGGTTCTTTTCTATTTTCCCTAAGTGTCAGCTGGTCTGAGAAATAAAGGGACAGAGTACAAAAGAGAGAAATTTTAAAGCTGGGTGCCTGGGGGAGACATCACATGTCAGCAACAATTCCCTGAAAAGAGGAACTATGGGGGAGTACCTGGAATTGTGCTTGTCACATAGAAGATGTGCAAGAAGTGTTGCTCCTTTTCCCTTTTACTCCTCCCTAATCTTTCAGCCCCATATAAACACCTTCATTCCTGATTATTTGCCTTTCTAAACTAAGCTTGGAGAAAGGAGGGGCCATACCTGTTAAGCATACTGTGGAGTATCCACCTTGTACAGTGCATAATAGGAACTTAGGAAATATTTATTGAACAAATAAATGGATAAGTGAGAGTCACTACAGTGGGCCACAAAATGATAAAATAACATGGATTAATGAATTATCTAGCTAAAGAGGTATCTGCTTTTCTTTGTCAACTCTTAGGTACCATGTTAACAAATTGCATAGAGGATAAATACTAGTTATGGACAGGCATGCTGGAGAAATGCTTAGTCTTCTTCAGGTAAAAGCACTTGGAAGTATACCATGTGACAAAAATTAAGCCAGTCTTTAACAAGATACGAAGTATCTTAGTTTTAGTTTTAATTTGACACAGAGACCTTGCTATAATTGGCAGTTCAAACATATTTTTGTATCCACTTGTTGAATACTTAATGTATTTCAACAACTGTATCTGACATTGGGCTAATTGAATCTCATTCATCCATTTCTATATTAATTTTAAAAAACATTTATCAAGTTTATACTGTACTATATGTGCAAAACAAGAATTTGAAAGGATTCACATTATTGTGGTGGGTGTATGTGTTGTACCAAAATTTATAAAATACTTTGAAATATCAATAATTGACTGACAAAAGATTAAAATGTTTCTGTCATCAATACCATTTTACTGTAGATTTATATTCTAATCCTAACATTAATAGTTTTTTAATGGAGCATTTAAATATGTGTCATATTCTAAACACTCTACATGCATACCTTCATGAAATCATATGCTTAATAGGATTTCTGTATGTTGTGTCCACCCAAAGTTCCTTTTTGAAGACCTAATAGAATCAAATAGGATAAGGGGTGAGTGTGATCCGTTCTTTGAAATATTAAAACAATATGATTTGCGAATATACAAATGCAAATCATTTTGGCACTTCCATTAATGTAAAAGGCAGTTTGAATGTGAAAGACTTTCCTTGGGTGCTACACAAGAAATGGCTTCTGTATTTCAATACCCTATATGCAGTGACATTCTACTTAGTACAGGAGGTCTTAATTGTGGACACAGTTGCAAAATATGTGATATTACTATATTCTGTATGCATGTGTTTTGTGAGTAATTTTTTTAACATATCAGTATTGTCTCTGATAAACTTATTGAAGTTTTGGGTTTGTATAGCTGAGTTAAAATGTTAGTACTGTATTGTAGTTAATGGCCAGGATTAAATAAGGAAGATATGAAGTAACACAAAACTTGTCAGAAAACCTGGAAAGACTCTGGTGTAAACAGCCATTGGTCTGTCGTCATCTTGCTGCTGTTGACATTGACCCTATTTCTATTTCCCAGACTAAATTTGGCTTCTCTGGAGGGTACACTTCCTCTAGTCCTCCCTTTTTATTTCTTATCTAAACATTCGGAACTCATCATGGCACTTCAAAATATAAATACCTACCAGTGTATCATCAATCCACATTATATTTAAGGAAGAGTGTTTATTATGTGTTGGCCTTCAGAAGCATTGCTCCAATTGTTCCAAATTAAATTG
This sequence comes from Homo sapiens, assembly GCF_000001405.40. Classification (NCBI taxonomy): domain Eukaryota; kingdom Metazoa; phylum Chordata; class Mammalia; order Primates; family Hominidae; genus Homo; species Homo sapiens. The sequence continues at coordinate 50,997,822 of NC_000002.12, read as the reverse complement.
TCTAAATGAAAATGTGGCTGATGTGATGGCTCACTCTTGTAATCCCAGCATTTTGGGAAGTGGAGGCGGGAGGATTGCTTAAGGCCCAGAGTTCCAGACCAGCTGGGCAACATAGCAAAAACCGTCTCCAGATAATTTTTTTTTTTAATTACCTGGGTGTGGTAGTGTGCACCTGTAGTCATAGCTACTCAGGAAGCTGAGGCAGGAGGATGGCTTGAGCCCAGGAATTTCAGATTACCATGCTGTATGATCATGCCACTGCACTCCAGCCTAGGGCACAGAGTGAGAGCCTGTCTATAAAATAAATAAAATAAAATGTTTTCCCCTTCAAATATTTAAAAGTTGGAGCTATTTCCTTTGGAAAATTTTAATCAAAAAATTTTAAAAACCTGCATATTTAAAGAAATTGTGATTAATTTCTATGCAGAGTATCTTTTTTTGTTTGTTTGTTTGTTTTCAAATATGGTCTTACTCTGTTGCCCAGGCTGGAGTGCAATGGCAGCTGGGACTACAGGTGCATACCACTGCACTTGGCTAATTTTTCTATTTTTTGTAGAGATGGGGTTTTGCCGTGTTGCCCAGGCTGGTCTCAAACTCCTGGGCTCAAGTGGAGCAATACTTCTGAAGGCCAAGACATAATAAACACACTTCCTTAAATATAATGTGGATTGATTACACACTGGTAGCCTCCAGCTCAGCCTCCCAAAGTGCTTGGATCACAGGCATGAGCCACTGTGCCTGGACCCAAACTTAATCATTTAATTCCAGTGCCTTCTTGCAGTTTTTTAAACTCCAGGATCCATTGAAAAAAAAGTAAAAATTGTCATTGACTCATATTTCTCCTTACGTGAAACCTATGGCGTCAAACAATAACAAAGAGGGATTCCACCACTGTGTGAGCCCACTCATGTGGGCTGTGGAATGATTACTCCCCCCTCACGAGTTTGATGAAACCTACGCCATGTGAAGAATCCTAATGTAAAGGGAATTGGTGAAAGATGGTTTTTAACTTTCCATCTTCTACAATAGTAGAAGATGATATAGAAGGAGGTTAGAGTGGCTGTTGACTGAGTCCTAGCTCAGCCAATTTTCTAGTTTTCTGCATTTGAATAAGTCTAACCTACTTATCTCCCCCATTTATGTAATATGGAGGTTTCCCTGGTGGAAGTCTAAGCTTTTCGTCTTGTAGCTCTAGAATCCTGAAGGTATTGACTTGGTGAAGGGCAGAAGCCAGGTACATGCAGATCTGGGATGTCAACTCAAGATTTCTGGGTTTCATTCCAGGGCTCCTTTCTATTATCACTGCTGTCTTTGACACTAATTAAATATGTGAGAAATAAATATGTAGTTCTATGAAAATATAAATACATACATACATGTAAAAGTTAAGCTGGTTTAAACTGGCCTTGTGCTTACTCTAAATGATAAAGCTTGTTTGACAAGGGAAGGTAAACCCATCATTTCTTACCTTAACCCCAGCACCAGTTTCTATCTGAGCTATTCCTGGAAGCAGATATGAGATGATAATCTCATTCAAGCGAATATACTTTAAGCATGATACGTACACCTTTGTGGCATTGTGCCACAAAAATACGGATTAAAATAATTACCACCTCCCTTCTCACTTCCCAAAACCAGCAAACTGCCCATTTAACATCTTTTGAGAAATTCTGAGATTGATTTATTTCCTGTCTTAATTTTAGTCATGGGAGCTCAGTATTTTCCAACATATCTCCTTGCAGAACCTGCTCACTCTTCATTATCAAAGTCATAGATATTCCACGTAGGCAAGACTTTTCCCCTCCATAATATCCTCATTGACCAACATTTGGACTTTGAAAATGATAACCTATGTAAATACTTAGCCATTAAAATCATCTGAACTTTTTACAAAGCTAAAAGTTATTATCTTTAAGATCCCTCCCTACCCTGAGAGAGTACACCAGAAAGACAGCTGGAGATTAAAGCATGCAGGGATTTAAAGCAGTGGAGGCCTTTGCTTAGTCACACAAGAATTATTGCTGTGAATCTCTGAGCTGCCTTGCTCGGCGTAAAGCCAAGACTTGTCTCCAGTTGCATTTATCCATGACTGAAAGAGAAACTACTAGATGGGGTGCTATTTATTTAAAGTTCACTGACACCTTCCAAGATTGTCCCATCTTCAAATACAGTACCCTGAGGTCTAGGATCCTCTGAGCTCTTTTTTTTTTTTTTTTTTTTGACAGAGTCTAGCTCTGTCACCCAGGCTGGAGTACAGTGGCACACTCTTGGCTCACTGCAACCTCTGCCTCCCAGGTTCATGCGATTTTCCTGCCTCAGGCTCCACAGTAGTTGGGACTACAGGTGTGCACTGCCACACCAGGATAATTTTTGTATTTGTTGTGTAGATATATTTGTATTGTTTTGTCCTGTTGGACAGGCTGGTCTCAAACTCCTGACCTAGGTGATCCACCCACCTCGGCCTCACAAAGTGCTGGGATTACAGGTGTGAGCCACTGCGTTTGGTCCTCTGAGTTCCTGTCTTTTCTCTGCCACTAATTTGTGGTTTGACCTCGGGTTGTCCCAACTACTCTCTGTGTCTCAGTGTCCTCATCTGGAAAACTATAAGGCGTAACTTAATGACCTCTAACATCCTTTTCAGCTTGGCAGTTCATTATGTCTCAGTTTAGGCCCCTTCTCAGCCCCTAAAGCAATGCAGTTCTCTCTGAAATTAATAATAAGCAACATATTGGTTGATAATTTAGGCCTCAGTGTAAATACATTAATATGTATTTCTTTTCTAAAATGATCTTTTATATTCAATGTTATTACCCTATATTTCTCTTAAACTGAGAACAGACACTTTAAGCGTCAGTGATTTTAGTATTTAAAACTGAAAATCATATTGAGAATGAATTGTGAAGAAAATAGTTTTTTTTAAAAAAACAGTGTAATTGCATCACCGTTTGTATGTGTTTACTAAGTAAGGTTCAGGTTATTTTGTATCCTGTGCTTGCTGTACCTTTCAGGAAGTTAATTTTGCAGTTGTTGTTCTTGTATATAATTTAAAATCCTATTTTGAATTTATGCTTTTTAAAAAACTCAGATGTGTGTACTACATGTGTAATTTATATTATCTATAACTTTAGTAATTATCTGTTAATATTTATTGAACATTTTCTGGATGCATTACACAGAACTAATGCATTCTCTGGTAGTGAACTGCATTTAAATTAGAAATTCTCCTTATGGAAGAGGAAGTTTAAAAATCAATTCTCTGATTATGATGAGGTTTTCTTTAGACTAGATATAAACCTAGATCCTTGGCATGTACATTCTGTTCTGCCTCTCTGGCTATGTTCTTCTCTTGTCAAAACAAAAGTCGTGATAATATAGGGACTTATGCAAAGCTGAATGCTTTTGACTAGGTGATTAAGTATAATTGGAAAACTTGAGGATAAGTTATCTCCCTATTTAAGTCTGTATTTTTTCTTTTAATAAGTGTATTCCTTGAAAAATGCAAGGTGAGATATAATGGAAATGTAGCCTTGATGGAGGTTATTAAATTTAGAGAGAGAGAGAGTGTGTGTGTGTGAGATTGTTTATTAATGAAACTTAGTACTTAATTGTACAGACTCTAAGATCACACCACCTGGGATCAACTCTATAAGACTGATTGGATTATTTAACTTCTCTAAGGCTCAGTATTCTCATCTGTGAATAGAGACAATGACAATCCCTATCTTGAAAGAATGTGGTGAATGATAAATATGGAAGATTTAGAACCATGTCTGGCACAGAGAACATGGTAAACAAAATCTAAAATCTTAGGTTTTGTCGGTGTGTATTTTGGGAATGGAAGTGAGTGTTCTGGAAAGATGAATTAGAATAGTCAATGTAGGAAAATAGAAAGTAGTTGAAGGTTAAAATACATGCCGGTTAAAGAACATAAATTTGCAAAGTGCTCTGGGTTCCCCTTTTCAGCATAATCATCAACCTTTCCTCTTACCAAGGAATAGCTTAGATAAAGAATAGGGAAAGGATGTTCTCCATGTGATTTTTGTAGTGAAGAATCCTATGTAAATAGTGTGTGGAGAAGCTTTCTGTGGATAGCAACATGGCCTGCTATATGGATTATATTTATTATACGGAATCTAAAATTTTATTAGCATTCCACTTACATGGCATTTTACCAGAAATGAAAAATATTTTAGCATGAGCTGTTGGTGTCCTCGCAACTTTTAAAGTGGGGCTGACAAAGAATTTGGATGATAGTCTGAGAATTAAAAAGAATCATAGCAAGTTGGAGAATTACACCCTAATTAATTGTATAAAGGTAGATTGCAACCAAGTGTCAGGCAGTGACTAAAGAAGGGAAAGGGTGAATGGCTGAGTTAATAGAAACATAAAAGAAAAATATCTGAGAATCAAAGGGAACCTAAAACAGAAGATAAATAAAAAAGTACTATAATTTTCAGTTCACGAAAAATCTTTGGGGCAGTATGGCACACTGAGACTAGCCCTAGGCTAACTATATAAATGTGCATACAGTATAAATTATTTCGGTCTCCATTCTCATTTTGTAAAATGAAAGACTTAGATTATCGTCTATTAATGATATCTTCCAATATAAATATTGAATGACTACCTTCTCTCATAGACAATATATAATTGTTTTCTCCTATAACAATCATTTACCTTTCTCTCGTGTAATAGAACTTACTCCTAATACATGTATGCTTCAAATAATTCCCTGTTGATATATTTGTGATTATTCTACTCTTTGTATGTCCTTGTATTTAGATTTCTTGCATACGTTATTTCACAAGTCACTAGAGATGGCTTAGTCCATAGCTTTTGGTGATTAAAAAATATAGTCATTCTGCAAATTTATGCACTTGGTAAAATCTGCTTTATATTGCTGTACCTATAGACTTGTCAGTAACTTCCAAAGATATGTAGTTGCATTGAACACCATATGTTATATTGACCCATCAGTCTCTACCAATAATCCATCCTTTTTATAATTGTCTGCATAAACTATTCTCTCCCCATGCATCACTAAAGAAACATGAATCGTTTCCAGGCCATGTGAAAAAAAGAGTGACAGTAAGAAAACAAACGGAGTTGCTCCTAGATGAGTACACCAAATACAAAAGGAATCGGAGAGGCAAAGTATATTGCATTTCTTTCTCATTAAACCAGCTTCCTGATTTTCATTATACCTTCTTAATCCTCAAAAGGCCCTCCCTGATTTCTTTCAGGTCCTGCCAACAGCTTATTGTCATAATAGGTAGTGTTCTGTCTACAAAGAACTGTGCTTTTTATAAGCACTAAACCTATTTTGGAGCCCTCAAATTCACTGATCTACCAGCTGATAATTTCTATTATATGCCTACTGTGTGCTAATGATGAGGGTGTTAGCCTTTCAAAGTTCTATCTTGCATAATTTAATAAAAGGTTTGAGGGTAGAATATTTACATTCAAATATTTTCTGCTGTTTGCTACCTGTATGACCTTGGACAAGGTTATTTAACTTCTATAATCCTCAGTTTGTCTTCTATAAAATGTGGGTAATGCTCATATCTACTTTACTAGTTAAGGAATAAAAGAGAACACATGCAAAATTTATACTAAATAAACTCATTATTGCTAGTTCTGTTAGCTAGTTAGAACTGACTAGCTTTTGGAGGAGACCTTTATGAATAGAAAACAGCCAGGTTTATTCTTCTCTCTCTCTTTCTGTCTCTGAATTTATTTCATGGCAGATTGGACAGAAACTGGGTGGCTTCTAAAGTTTTATATTATCCCCTCTCGGATTGAGTCTTAGGCTTTTAGACGAAAAGATTCATATGTACACACTGTTGATCCAGACCTTTCTTTTATAGCTTTATGATATAAATAGATAAAATGCTTAGAAAATAATGGCGGAAATTCCAGAGCAGTTGCCACATGGGGAAGCATTTCTAATGGGATCTTTTATTGAAACTGAAGTTATGAGAATGGAGTTAACAATAAAAAGCTTGTATTGCATCGTTGCCTTTTAATAGCTTGTATTGTAAAAGCTGTTTTTTATCTCAGAAGAACGTGCTCCTTGAATCGCGTTCCCAAGATATTAGATAATCTGTTTTCTGGAAATTTAGTACATGATGTCAGACTATTTTCTGGTTCTATTTTCCATGTTTTTCTCCTTCAAGTGCAAAGGCCTCATTGACAAATGCAAAGTGTGCTTACAATGAGGATAGATGGGTGAATGACAACTATAGAGACTAGTCAAAGCACTAGTATAGGAGTGAAAATATATGGAAAGGCAACCTGAACTGTTGAGCATTTATTCAGAAGCTATTGCAGTAGGACCATAGTTGAGTAGATTATCAGGATTATATACTAGAAAGCTGGCTGGCTTGGGCTTCTTGCTAAAACCAGCTCTCCATCATCACAAGCATCCATTTTGATGAGGTACTACTGCAGTTGGATCTTTCTTTTCCACCTTAGGTATAATTTATTTAGGAGGTCACCTTTGCAGAAAATTGGGGGTATGGAAGACCACAAAGAACATCACATCCACCTTATTTTTTAAAATGTGGATATTTTGGTTTGTCTTATTATAATATTCATTAGATGTGTGAGCTAAGAACTGCTTTCTCCATTTCAGAATAGACAAAGGAAACACAAAAAAGCTTAACAGCTTATTCAGGACAACAAAGAAATGACAGACCTGCCATTTATTTGAGGGAAAAAGCTAAGTCTGTCTCATTTACTACTGTATTCCTAGTTCCTAGCATGGCACACAGAGCAGATGCTGAAAGAGTTATTTGCTGAATGAATGAATGAATACATTAAAGAAAGAGTAAATAAACAAATGAATAATGTCAGATCCAGAACATAGGCCCAGGTCTATTGGATGCTCCCAAAGTGCTTGTTTTCCTTTTATTCTTTGCTCTGTCTGTTGTTACTTATCCCAGAGAGGAAGGCTAAGATTTGAGAAATGGCGAGGTCTCCACCTGGGAAAGCTTTTTTAGTGCAGCACTACGACACTTCAGCTCCTTGGCCAGCATGTGAGCCATGGATCTGGGAAACAGCTCCTGGGAGAAAAGGAAACTCAGCAAGACGTTGTCTTGTTGAGTTGGGAGAACAAAAATCATACTCCTGTTTAATAGGACTCGAGGATGAATGTAGGCCCAAACCCAAACTGGAAAAGTATTAAGAATGGAGAGAAGAGAGAAGAGAAACTAAAGTCTATGTCTACACCTGATGACAGAACCAAAAACTGTGTCACTAAGGTTCCCCTCTGTACTCTTCAGAGCAACATGTTTATGTAAGTGTTTCTTCCCTAGAGAATAAGCTATGTGGCAAAGAAATTCAAAAGAGCGCTTGAACTGTTAACTATGCATAGTCTTCTCTTTTGGAAAGTAGATAAGAAAAGTGTAATGAGCTAAAAGCTTTGAAAAACATATGACCATAATATTTCATTGACATTTATAAAGGGAAAAATAATGTGAAGTAGTAATTTAAGTAAGTTTTTACCTTCTTAAAAATTGATTTTTTTAGCACTGGGCTTCAAAGGTGCATTTGAGAAATAAAAGGAAAACTCAAGAGATAGAAGAAAATGTTTGCAAATTGATATTGAATAATACATGCCTATCCTAAATACACAAACACCCTTACAATTCAATGATAAGTTAATGAACACAATGTAAAAAAGATCAAAATATTTTAGCAGACAGTTCCCTACAGAAGATATATGGAAGGCAAAAGATGCTCAACATCATTAGTCATTAGTAAACATAAATTAAAGTCACAATGAGCTACCACAACACCTTTATTAGAATGGCTAATTTTTTAAAAAAATGACAATATCAAGTACTGGCAAGTATGTAGAGCAAGCAACTAAAAATCTCATGCATTGCTGGTGTGAATGAGAAATGATAAAGTTGTTTTGGGAAAACCATTAAACCATTTGACAGGTTCTGATAAAGTCTAACATACTACCAAGCAATGCTACTCCTACATATTAGCAAAGACAAGTGAAAACGTAAGTCCTTTTCTCTACATCCATACCAGAAATCAAAACCTGTACCTAACGTTTAGAGTGGTTTTATTTATAATTGATAAATTTTAGAAACCACCCAAATTCCCATCAATTGCTTAGTGGATAGACAGACTGGGGTACATCCATGCAATTTATGTATTCAACAGTAAGAAGAACAAAATACGAATACAGGCAACAACATGGCTGAATCTCATATGGTTTTCACTAAGGGCAAGAAACCAACTCAGAAGTCTACATGCTATATCATTCTATTATTATGGTATTCTGGAAAACACAAAACTACAGGGACAGAAAACAATTGCTGATTGCTAAATGCCTGGGTTGTAGGGGCAAGGGTGAACAGAGTTGGAAATTATTTATACCTTGATTGTATTGGTGGTTATCTGACTGTAAGTGTTTGTCAAGATTCATATAATTACCCACTTATAAGGGTAATTTTTTGCTGTATGTAAATTATATCTCATAAATAACTTTAACAATTGTATTCTCACTCAAATATTGAATGTAGTCATAGTAATGAGATGAACACATGTATTTCATTCTTATATAAGAACAAAATCTGCTTATTTTACTGTCATTAGTAAATTCTTGGAGACATTAAAACAAAACCTTCATAAATTTCAAAATATTCTGTTACTATGTTGTTTATTTCTCACTGATTATCCCTCCAATTGGGATAAATTTGCCAATTTAGAATATCTAAAAACAGTGAATCAAAGCAAAAGAAGAAAAATATCTCTCAGGACGCAAGTTCCTGGATTTTTTTTAAAAAAGAAAAATAGGGGAAAATATGGGGGGAAAAAGTGGGAAAGGCAGAAAATAAATAAATTGAAAGACAAGGAGAGAAGTTGTCATAAAGCAGAGGTAAAGGCAGGAGTCCGTGATCTCACTTGATCTCCCCAACCACCTAGTAGAGTAGATACTGTTGTTATTCCTATTTTGCATAAAGGAAAACTGAAGTTTTAGGCAGGGTGCATAATTTAGGCACCCTCATACAGCTAATAAACTGGGGAAAAACCATTTGAAGCTTAGGTACAGCAGCTGCTAACGCCTGTGTTCTCTGCATGGAGCATTAGGGTAAATACTCTGCTATATCAATGAGTTATCTCGGTTGTTTTATCTCAGTTATCTCAAGGAATTATATCTCAGTACAACACATGGTTGCATTGATTTAGATACCCTAAGGGTAATAAGAATTTAAACAGGAGAGGGGATTTAGAGCTGTTAACCTCTTCCTTGTTTGGTCTAGGGCTAGCTCACCTTGACAGTCATTTACGGATGGATTGTCTCCTTGGTTAGAACCTTTAGACAGCATTCTCGTTTGATTTTCCAAACAAAATTGGCATTCTTATTTGTCCAAACAAAACTGTCTAGTTTGTCATAGTAGTAAAAGCCATGAAGCCATACTGTTCACTTCATCACAAGTCCCTTTTTGGGGAAAAAATAAATGTAAATGGTTTGCATCTAAAGTCTATATTATTTCAAGGTGAGTACTTTACTAGATGAGTTAATAAATAATGACTAAGACCTTAAAAAGAAAATGATCTGGTTTATGCCACAGGAATAGTCATTGATTTGGCAGGATAAACTCTAAGGAGCGCCGACAAGACTCATGTGGTAAATTAGGCCTGACTTATTTTTGTCAGCTGAACATTGGAGTTATCACTGACCCTTATGGAAGAATCTGTATCTTATTAAAGCACTGTTGCATCAGAACTATCCCAGTTCCCTGAATAGACCTGAGTAGTGTATGAACATTTCAATAGCAGCTATCCGGATTTAGACTTATGGATTTTCTGAATTGAATAGAATATAGTGAACCTGGCCTAAAAAATTAATCCATTTTGATTTTTTGCAAAAGACACTTGCTGAGGATCATTGGAATAACGTCCAAAAAAGTAATTCTGTGTTTCGTAGTGTTCCTTTTCTGCAGCTGCTACAAACTGGACAGGGACCAATGGGGGTTAGTGGTCTCTGGTGTGAATAGCTCTACTTAGCTATCCATTAATCTCCAAAGAGATGTCCAGATTCCAAGTTATTATTGATTCATGGACAAGCTCTTTCAACCTAACAGACAGTATATGTTCCAAAATAACACAGAACATATGCATCCTTTATTAGAAGCTGCCTTAAGTGTATTCATACAAAGTGAATGTAGAGTGGGAGGTTGTTATACTTTAGTGGTCATGAAGCGCTGATTTGAGGCCTTTTTCTTGGTAAGATTCTGATTTCCTAAATAAACTTTAGACACACACAGATGTAATAACCCATTTATTATTTTGTTCTAAGTTTGTAACAGGATCTTCTAGGAGCATTAATTGTTCAAAATATGTCACCACAAATTCCAATTCCAGAATGTGGGAAAAAGAGCATACATTTCCCAAATCATATGTTAATCTGGCCTGACTCTATGTAATAGCAGAGTGAATATCTAGAAGAAGAAAATGAGGACCATGGCTTCAACATCATCCAGATTTGTGGGGTGCAATCTTTATTTTATTGTTAATACTTTTTTATTTTATATTGAATTATTGTACTAACTTAAATAGAAAATCTTTAAAATTGGATAGTAAGTTGTTTATTTACTAATAAGTAGTCAACATATGAAGAACTATTAAAACCTCAAATTATGACAAATAAAATGAATGTTAAGACTGACAGTGAAAAAAATGAGTTTTTGTTTTTTAAAAGTTTTCTCCTCTTGTTTAATTTGTATAACTGAATGCCTTTAGTTGTAGAAGTCACATAAGTGCATTTTTATTGTAAAAGATGAATAGCATATAGAAATGTATTGTGAAATGGAAAAGAGTCCTCCATTCCTACTGCTTTCTCATTATCCTCTACAAAGTAAAGCACTATTAAGATTTCAGGGTGCTGTTTTTCAATTTTACTTTCTGTACATTTACGCATATATACATATATATCTATGTCAATTGTGTTTATTTTAAACAAATAGAATTATCTAATAAGCATTTTTTCTGTGAGTTGCTTTTTTCCATTCCTATGTTTTGGATATTTGATAGCACTATCTCGATTTTTTGGAAAAAAAATATGAATATTTGGCAATTATATTTATAAAAAAGCTTATATGCTAATAAAAAGTTTAAAAAAGACCTAGATATTTTTACAGATATGTAGTTTGCATAAGGGCAAAATCGATATATGAGTGGAAGGAGAAATGGAAAATATAAATGAAAAACTTTTTAAAATTTATTAGATATTTTTCTCACTATGTTAATGTTTAGTATTCACAATGTAACAACACATGAAATATTCAGTGTTTTCAAAAAAAAATCTGCGCAGTATTTTCTGGCATAGAAGATGATGTATTTACTGATTCCTTGTTGGTAAATATTTAGGTTGTTTCAATGTTTTTTACTATAAAAAATAATGTTGCAGTGGATATTCTGTATATGTTTGTCCATATTTAACTCACACATGGATACATTTATTCATCTACGAATATTTTTTATTTATAAAAATGAAATTCCCAAGAGCAAACTACTGCCAATTTACGTTACAAGAGTCTCTCCTAATTTATATTTGCATTACCAGTATATAAAGCTTCTGTTTTAATTCTCCTCACCACGACTTAATATTACTATGTTTTGCTTGCCCCAGTCTCATGGAGAGAGAATTATGTTGCTGTTTTAATTTCCATTATGGAAATGAAAGTTAACTGTATGTTAAGTTAACTTTAATTATATTAATCTATATTAATCTTTATTAACTCTATTAATACAGAGTTACTGGGGAGATGGGAAGTCATTAAATATATTTATTGGTCACTTTTGTTCATTTTCTCTGTAATTTCTCTGTAGTGTTTTTCTGTTTATATCCCTGCTCATTTTTTCTTTGAGAGTTGTAGAATCTTTTTATATAATCTAGCTATTGACATTTTGTAAGTCATATATGGGACAAATATGTTTATCAGCCATTATATAGTCTTTTTAAACATTTTTATCTTTCCTCATTTTGAAGTTTTGTTTTCATTTCATTTTTTTATATGGGTAAATGTATCAGTCTTTTCCTTCATGCCTTTGAACTGTATTTCTTGCTTAGCACAGCCTCCCATATCTCAATTCTCCTGTATTTTCAATTAACATTTTTGATTTGTTTATGTTTATCTTTTTATTTGACTATTTCTCATTCTCCATTATCTTCTTCCTTGGATCCTTTTTTCCTTATTATTGTAGTACATTTCAGTTAATTCTTTCAGAGTGGTTTCATTGATATTAATATTTCTGAGTTCTTGTAGATCTTAAAACATTGTATTTTTCATTCTACTTGATGTTGGATTGCTTGAGTAAAACATTCTAGATTCAGAATTTTCTGCTTGAAGCCATCTCTCCATACTCTTCTATTAACCGACGTTGAAGATAAGTCTGATTCCGTTATGGTTTTTCTTCTAATATAGGTAATTTTTATTCCCATTTCTCAGTAAGTTCTCAGTGAAAATTTTTCTTTTAGTGGAAATTGGCATAGCTCTTTTAAAGTGGTGATCCTTTTTAAATGTATAGTAATCATTAGTTTTTTGCTTAACCTTGTTTGAGAATACCTATCATGGATGTTGGTGATATTTACTATTATACTACCAAACCTACAGCATTTTTGTCCATGTGAATTTTAGTCTGTGGTAATCTACAGATTTACTTCACACATTTTTTTTCCTGTATGTTTTATATTTTTAAGATAGCCCTCAAAATCTGTCATTTGTTTTCTAGCACTCTTCTGGATCTTAAAAAGTATATATTCTGTCTTTTCATGGAATTAGAGCAGAAAGGAAAACTAACAAATGTTGAATCTGCAATTTTGGTCCAATCTCCCAGTAACTATTTGGTGAAATTTAACTGACAGTGTTATGTAACTAAAAGAGTTCTAGATCTATAAAGTATTTGCAGAGATAATTTTTTTTAGATCTAAATAAAATTTGGGGTAAATACAAACTAATTACTCTTTAAGCGGTTTCTCTATTCACATTCCCTTTGTCACTGACTTGATTTGTTAACATCTATTAAAGAAGCCTCTTTCTTCATAACTACATTTTGGCTAAAAAAGGGCACAACTCTGGTGCCCTTATCCATATTAAAGATACAGGGCAATATACTTTTCACTTTTAATACAGACTGTTTGATTCAGATTTGATGAAGAGGAAAACACATTTTAAGTATTTTGGAAATATTAATCCCTTTCTATCCCAGATATAGCCTTCAGCCTATAGGACTCAGGAAGAAAAGTCAAAATTATTTCTTTTTTTAGTTCCCTTCTCTGGAAATCTAATACCCTGTATATAGTAGGCACATATATTAGGCAAAGGGTCTGTACTGTAAAATGGAGATTGGCAAACTTTTTCGGTAATGGACCACATAAATATTTTAGGCTTTGCTGGCCGCATACACTCTTCGTTATATATTCTTCTTTTTGTTTTATTTATTAAAAAGAGAAACCTTTTTCTAATTCTTAGATAGAGAGTCATACAAAAACAGGACTGGGCAGCCTAATACAGAGAACACTCTGGTGGCTCATGCCTGTAATCCCAACACTTTGGGAGGCCGACGTGGGTGGATCACCTGAGGTCAGGAGTTTGAGACCAGCCTAGCCAACATGGTGAAACCCCATCTCTACTAAAAAAAAAAAAAAAAAAAAAAAAAAAAAATTAGCCTGGCGTGGCAGTGAGCACCTGTAGTCATAGCTACTTGGGAGGCTGAGGAGGGAGGATTGCTTGAACCCAGGAGGTGGAGGTTGCAGTGAGTCGAGATCATGCTACTGCCTTCCAGCCTGGGCAATAGAGTAAGACTCTGTCTCAAAAAAAATAGATTAATTAAAAAATAAAAATAAAAAAATGCTTTGAATGTTTGCTCTAGCTTTTTGCCAGCAAATATTTGTTAGTAGCTAATGTCTATCCACTCTACTATGTACAGAATTTTATGTAGAAGAGTTATATTCATTGCCTTTAAGATACTTCCTAGTAAGTATCTTGAAGAAGGTGAAAGTCACTATGAAATTTGTTTACATAGACAAGATCCATCCTGGCAGATTAGGGGACATAATGCATTTCATTAAAATGAACAGATTTTTATTTTATGTTTTTTCTTTTTTTACGTTTGCCTTTTACAAACATTTTCACTATTATATCTAAATAAGAAAAGTTCCCTAATATGTGTATGTAGGCAAATAAATGTGAAGCCTTTCCCTGGAAGGATGTGTTTACCAATAGTTACTGACAATTTGTTAACTGTCCTGTGTTTGAAGAGATCCCTAGTATAGGAAGAAACAGGAATAGCCATGTTCTTTTATAGTAAGAAAAGACTAAGGCCAGTACCACTGGGTGGGGACTTAATGTAACTACTTTTTAGCAAGTACCTAAAGAAAATATTGATTCTGGTGTCCATTGAAATAGGGATGAAACACTCTCTCTTTGAGCCTGGAGCTGGAAAAGCATCTCGCAGTGGCCTTAGAAAAGGAAATAAATTGATTTTTCTATCGAGGAGAAAGTGATAAGGATTCCTCATACCCCTAAATGCAAAGAGTATCTTTCCATCCTCTCTGATTTGAGAGGTAAACTTAGAGATATACAATTAAGAGCATTTAATTAGATTTAAATAAATGGCAAAAAGTGGAAGCCAAAATATTTATACTATATCTAGACTAATAATTAGTAAATCTTCTGTGATTTGGAAATGTGAACTTCTAATGTAACAAATTTAGAGTAACTTTTGATTGGTAAAGATGGCTTTAGTAATTTGGTGAATTAATAGAACTATATATATATAAAACTCCTTGACCAACACATTTTTTATTTTTAAGTAGAAATAATGAATAAATGAATAAATAAGTGAATAAATTGGGAAGGGGTACAAGTGGTTCATGACTCTCAGGCAGCTTCAGGAATTTGTCAGTTAGGTGTTTGCAAACTATTTAAAAACAGAGTTATTGGAATGGAAAGGGAATAATACATTTATGAGTTTGGATCATTTTATTAAGTGTATGGTTAAAATTAGTATTAGGTGCACATTAAAATGATCAACTAGACATGCAAACTATTGAGACATTTCTTATTATTTTTATATTTTTATATTTTCAACATCTTTGTAGTCAACAGCAAGCTTTTTAAGGTGAAGTATAAAAGGAAAAACTTAGGTGCTATGCCAAATGGTGCCTTATTGATAACTTTGGGTTAAAAATGCTTCTAGTTGTATCTGAAAGATGAAGTTCATGTAAACTTTAATCATTGTTCATTACTCCCTATCTACGAATCACCTTCTATATGTAATATGCTGTGTTAATGTTAGTAATATGAACAGGCCTTTTTGATGTCAGGTTAGTGTTGTCCCTTAGGCCACGTTCAGAGCATGTATTCAGTGTACATTCTGCTGTGAAGTCCAAATTAACTACTGATGAAGTTAAAAAACAAAATAGTGTCAATGCCTGACTTGATTCTTTAAGAGAGTCCTTTCATTAATAAAACTAAGAGTAAAAGAGTTGCCTAAAATAATTTATATCTGGTACTAAATAGTCTTGATTTGTTCTTCAGAAAGTCTTACAATTGAATCACTATAAAGTAATGTTTTTAGCTAATCATTTTTAGGAAACATGACCGAACTGTCAAGGTGGAAATTGTCAGGCTAAATTTTAAGATAAATCTGTAAGCTTTTTCTCCATAGCTTTTTGCCTATTTGTTATTTCAAGTTTATTCTTTCATCCATGGTGAAATTAGAGTTGACTCTATAAACTATTAAGATGAATGATGGAAGCTCAGATGTTCTTTTGGATTTCAGGATAAAAAGAGTCTTAATGAATTATTTTCAGAGCTCCTCTTTCTCTATCTCTCTCTCTGTCTCTCTTTTTAAGATATCTGGATTTATTCCTATTAATACCATTAACCATTGTGAAAATTTTTTTTCAATTTTCTGTGTAGATTACACACCACACACACACACACACACATACACACACACACACACACACACATTGTTTATTCAAACAATTATTAGGCTCTGTGCTTACAAAAATGCCTGTCACTGGGAGGAAATCCATACTCAGCTGCAGAATCCCTTTGTTGGTGGTTATCATTTCATTTTCTAATTTCTGAGCCAAAAGCTGTCAAAGATATCGTAATGGAAAGGATTTTCTTTTAGCAGACTGTTCTTTTGGTTAAAAACTTTTGAATAAACAGCTCATCATTAATAGATGTATGACAAAAGTAGAAACCATAATATAAAAAAAATTAATACGTAATACAAATGGCTGAAGAGACAATCTTCCACAATGAATAAGTTGGGTATGTTTCTATGTTTCTTTTCATTCTTTTTTTTTTTTTTTTTTTTTTTTTTGAGATAGAGTTTCTATCTGTCACCCAGGCTGGACTGCAGTGGTGCGATCTTGGCTGACTGCAACCTCTGCCTCCTGCGTTCAAGTAACTCTCCTGCCTCAGCCTCCTGAGTAGCCAGGATTACAGGTGCCTGTCACCACACCTGGCTAATTTTTGTTATTTTTTGTAGAGAAGGGGTTTCACCATGTTGGCCAGGCTGGTCTCAAACTCTTGGCCTCAAGTGATCCACCCACCTCAGCCTCCCTAAGTGCTGGGATTACGGATGTGAGCCACTACGCCGAGACAGTTATGTTTCTTATAATATTGGGAAATAAGCATTTTATTTCAGAATCAATTTTTATCTTTCTGATAGTTCCTGCCTCAACAGAAGGGCTTGGACCTTACATTATAGGTGATCACAGAAGAGATATCTGTAATTACTTTTTAAAATGTAATGTGGTGCTGCATACATCTATTTTAATGCCATAGTAGCTCTCTGTGCCTAGAAGAACTAACAAGTGTTTAGGGCAATTTGTTGCCCTAAAGTGTTAAAGTGTTAGGGCACAGCAGGGTATATTGAGATTTATTATAAAGATTATTCTACCATAGATAATCTTTCTGGAAGCAAACCTAGGGAACAAATGTGAAGAAAATATGGCCTCAGTTAAATACATTTATAACAAAAGGCAGGAAAACTCTCTGGAATGATAGGTTTAATAAATATCACTTTATCATATGGCAACTTTGGTTTTCAATAGCGTTGTGGCATTTTAACAAATTACATTAGCATCTATGGATTTTTTGATTGAAGAGATAAAATGCATTATTGTGTACATTTATTTACTCCCCTTTTCTAAATTTGCTTCATAATAGAAACTAGCTTAATTAAATTATTAACATGTTACAGTAGTGGTTATTACCTTCATAAACTATCACTACTATTCCTAATTAATATTTGTCACTTATTCAAAAGATGAAAAGCAAAGAAAAATGTTCTAAAGATTATATTAGTTGGTGGTTATTTTATTTTCTAATTTCTAAGCCAAAAGCTGTCAAAATATTGTAATGCAATGGCTTTTCTTTTAGCAAACTGTTTTTTAGGTAAAAACTTTTGAATGAACAGCTCATTATTAATATATACAACAAAAGTAGAAACTATTAATATATTAATTACCTCAAAAGTAATTGCGGTTTTTGCCATTACTTTCTTCAGGCACATGTAGTGGGGTGCACCTGTAGTCTCAGCAACTCAAGAGTTTGAGGCAGAGAATTGCTTGAACCCAGGAGGTGGAGGTTGCAGTGAGCTAAGAAAAAGCAGAATTTAGAAAGCAACATTTCAAAATTTTAATCAGACATCTCCTGATTTAAAGAAATTTAACTCTAGTAAAACCATTCCAACCATAGCAAAACTAAGAGAACGATATGCAAATCTAGGTTAAACACGGTTTGTGGTTTATTTATATTGTTGGCTACCTCCTATTTTTCCTGTTAGTTGTAGCAATTTAATTATATTATTTATAGAGAACAAACGTGATATTACTCCAAATAGTTGGCTTCTAATCATGGGACAACTTTTGTTAAAATTAGAACAAACAGATGTTTGAAACCATTATGTGTGCTTCAGCTCTCTTTCAGGAAAATAGATATTAAAGGTTGACAGTGAAGAAACTTAGGGAAATATAAATGAATATATTGAATGGTGTTGGTTGCTTACTGAGTAGCCTCTGATGGCATACGTAGAATCCTTTTCTTCTGAGAAAGTACAGTGTGTTCAGTGAGAATCCATGGGGTTTTACAGGTTGACCAAGGTTCGTTGCCAGATTTAACTGAGACACAGAGCAAGCCCTGCATGGTCTGGTATGTGATTTTGTGCATAGTAGGCATATCATTTTTAAAAATTCAGGTGAACTTTTATAAATTCTGTCAGTCTATGAAATAATTTATAATTGAAAATATAGGTTATATCCTCCATTGTCATGATAAGGGAATCAAAAGGAAAATAATTATTACTCTTATATGTTGCACATCTGGCTTCTTGTCCTGGTTTCATGTCCTGAATAACTGGCTAGTATCCCAAGATGGAAATACCTGAAAACTGGCAAGTTTCCAAGGTATTTGTTAAACAAGGAGGATACTGTGCTGAGAATAGGGATGGAATTGCTGTCACATTGTCCATGGGTGAGGAAGTTCTCTCTTCCTTCCAGCTGATGTAAATATTGCATCTGTTTATCTTAGCTGGAGAATCTTAGTCTTTTCTCATATCACAGAGGAAATCGCTTACTTTCTGTAATTAAATTACATACGATGACCATGTAAGTTATGTGTTTTAGCTATATCAAGGTTTTAAATATTCTCTATTGTGATTAGCTTAATGTCAGACATAAATGCTCATTAGCTGCTTGTTAAATCAAATTTAGAAAATCCTAGAGGAGAGTTGGGACATATGAGTTATGCTGAAATTATTTTTCCTATGTAATTCTATGTATTTTATGCAAGAAAAATAAATGGAAAATTACAGCATCCTATGAAGTTTATACTACATTTAAAAACAACAATTACGTTTTTTCTTCTCTATTAGAACATTTGTTGAGTATGTTATCTCACACAGAGCATTACTTATAGTCCTACAAGTTCACACATATTAAGGAAGCATCCGGGGATGAAAGTCATTTAATCATTATGCATGTTTTCTCGTTATCATAATTCATGGGGAAAAGCACAAAGAAGTGTGAAGTGATTTGACTCAAAATCTGAATATCAAATAGACGTGCTCCTTTAAATGATATTTTAAAAACCCACATTTGTTACTTTATTCATCCATCCAATCATTAATGCAACAAACTTTCATTGATACCCTGCATTAGCCAAGCATTGTATGCAAAACACTAAGAAAGATGCACACATTATAGTAATCGGATATTTATTCCAACATTTTGTTTACAGTATCAGAAGTTGGAAGGAAAGGGATTAGATATCTGGTAAGAGATTTTTAACTGAATTATGGTATGGTAATTGAAAATATATTGTGCAGCCATTAACAACATTGATGCAGATTATACAAATACATATTGTTGACCTGAAAATATATTTGTTGTTATTAAGAATTGAATAAAGCTTACTATGGAAAATTATAATTCCATTTAAAAACAAATCTATCTATAATATATATATTTTATATATATATATATATATATATATATATATATATGTATAATATCCATATTCAGAGTATGGTCTCTGGAAGAATATGTATAAGAATAAGTTTTAATGGCATTTTCCTCTGGGCAGTGGACTTACAGGTAATGTCTTTTTCATATCTGTTTCTTTTTCCTATTTTGTTTAAAATGAATATATATATTTTGGAACAGTTAAAGAATATTTAAAATGTATAGATCACTGTAGTATCAGTAGGGCAATATTTTGCCCACTGATGTCCAACTTTTAGGTGAGAAAATAGCCTGGTAAGTTTAGTAAAGCCATCAACATGCTGCAATACTGAGAATAATCCTAAGAAGAAAAGGTGTATAGCTTTCCTTTCTTAGATGTTTTATTTGTTGTTTCAGATTGCTATCACATTAACACTTTAAAAATGATAATAGATGCAATGCCCTATTTCTAATGATTAAACATTTTTTGAATGAGGCAGTATGTGCTTTGCATGCTCATTTATGATATGACTTTTTTTAAGAAAACAGATTTATGAAGTGATGTGAGTTAAGGAAGCATTATAAATGCATACTGCCTTTGGTTTTTAGAAAGATAAGAGGATTGAAGTAACTTAGATAAATTCCATACTCTGACTTAGAGTCTAGAAAATAGGTCAGTAGAGGGTAGGAGTGTGTTTAATGTGGTGGACCCACTTACATTACTTTCAAACTGTGTAATATTTTTGTTGAATAGAGAGATTATTCTGCAGTAACTTTCTGTTACTTCATTTAAACTTGTAGTGTTTCCTGAATGAGAGTTTAAATAATTTCATACTTCTTCTTACTGAGGCATATGTGGTCTTGGTATATGTAGTTGTGTTTTTAAAAACCAACTTAAGTGATTCATAAAAAGTATATATAATGCAGAAATTCTGCCAGTCATATGTAAAATTATGTATATAATATTATGTATCACATATAAAATATGCTCATATTAAAATGTGACTACATATGAAAAATTAGATTTTCTTTCCTTATGAAATATTGAGCAAAATTATTATCTCTGACCCCCAAATATGATTATAATTGCATTTGTAAAATAAATCAAAATTATATAATGAATGTGCTCTAAATTTTCTTTCTCTTTCCTTTTCTTTTTATATGTGGTATTTTAAATGGTAATGAAGCATCATATAATAATTAGCAGACCAAGAGGTATTGAACTTCACAAATTACTATTTATGTCATTTTAACTGAGGGTTTTTCTCCCTCTCTATAATTCTGTTATGCTGTTTGGTTAATTAAGAAGTGCTAATTCTAAGAACATTAAGCTATGCCTTCAAAATTTCAAATGACCTGTTGATAATAAAATTTAGCATAAGAAGGCATCTTTGACCTTTGATGATCATTGTTTTCAATTTCTGAAGGAGGTAACGGAATCATGAATTCTTTTGGCTATATCTTAATATGAATCCCAAGCATGCATAACAAAGTCTACTTGCTGAGGACATTTGGAATGTTATTTAATCGATGATTTTTTTGGTATGCTCAATTTTGATCTTACTGAAATGTACACAGGGTTACAGTTCCCGAGTACTTCTGTCTTCTGTTTGTGGTATGCTCAATTTTCATCTTACTGAAATGTACACATGGTTACAGTTCCCGAGTACTTCTGTCTTCTAACATTACAGAGGTGGTGTATTCACTTTTCCTTTATTAATATAGACATTAACTACTTGGTCCCCTAATATTTTTACTTTAGAAGATTCCAAATTTACATTAAATAGCATGGAAATTATCTTCATTTCATGTGTTTAAGTTGTGTGCCTTTTCAAATCAAAAAGGGATAACATTTAGGGTGGGGGAAGGATAACATATTCTCTTCAAAACATAAGTGAAGAAAAACTGTGCATGACACAGCAATTAAAGAAGATGTAAGGAAACTGTTAAGATAACACAGCATTCAATTTGTCAATCATTTTCAAGGGAAAAAATTCAAGCAAATAGGTTCCAAAAATATATTAAAAATTAGAGTTCTTTTAGAGTTTTAGGAAATACAAGAAAGAATCCCCACTTAGTTGCAGAGACAGAATTGTTCCTTTGTGCACCTAGTGAGTTTCTAAGAAAAAAAAAAAAAAAGAATAACATAAAATAATTGATTGCAAAGTAAATTAATAGAGTGTCTTAAAGGGAATAGAGAGGCATTTGAAAACAGTACAAGTCCTCATCAGAAAATAGGGAGTCTACAGGGCACACAGGCATTATTGGGAGCAATGCCAAAGGACAGACATATGCAGATGTCTAGTCAAGGGGACACTGGGACAAAATATAAAAAATATATATGTAAAAAGAATTGTGCCACAGTGTCCCTAAGCCATTGCTTAATAAGGCTGGCCTTCTCCTTGCCTTCCTAACAGTGAGCAATCTTAGAGAACAAAACACAATTTCTTCTTCCCCTAACATTGATATATCTCCCTCGACTGCTCTTGGGTTAGCCCTTCCCATGTAATCTGCACACTAGTACCAAAGGTATGGGGTAGTTTGATTGACTGGTATGAATCCTCAGGCCTATGAAAGGTTAGGGCCACATAATTCGCATTCCCGTGTGAATTCAAGGAATCCGGAAGGGTCAGTTCCAAAAAAGAAAGGACGCAGGGCAAGCAAAGAAATTGCAGATGTCCACATAGTTAGATAGGACTTATGTTAGCAGAAAATAGTGTTAAATATATTTCAAGAGTATACTATAAAATGAGACTCAAAGGCAGAGGTGAACATTATATATTTAGGGGACTTAGATGGAGTTTCCTAGTAAAGAGCAGAGAATAGTAGGAAATAGTAGAATCACAGCTAATTTGTTGTAAGACATTTGGTGCCAGTTTGCATTTTGCCTTGCAGAGAATAGAAAAGTATGGAAAGAGACTTGTATGTGTGTATGTATGCAATGATTCCATTTAAGTCACTGTTTTTCAAATGGAAGCTTGCTTTAGATTAGCAGTTCTCAAACTTTTTGGACTCTTGATCTCTTTAAGTTCTTAAATATTACTGAGAGACCCAAAGAGTTTTTGTTTATATGGTTATGTTTATAAATATTTACTGTATTAGAAATTAAAGTTGAGAAAATTATTTAAAGAAAAGAATATACAAGAATACTTTCCATTATCTCTCAGAGTGATGACATCATCAAATCATGTAGCTTCTGGAAAACACTAGTATACATTTGCAAGATGTTGAGAGTGAATGAGACAAATGACATCTTAGTAGTTTTATGAAAAGAACCTTGTGGATTCCCTGGAAGAGTCTTGGGTGTTCCAGGGGGCCCTGGAACCACATTTTGGGAACCACTATTTTAGAGGATCATAAAATTAATTCAGTGGCTCATGGTTGGCATTTATGGAGTGGAATGAAATGAAATGAAATACAATGGAAGGGAATGGAAAATACAAGTACATTTTATATAGTAAGGGAACAAATTTTAAATGAAATTTAATTATGAGTCGTGGGAGTGTGTGGGTATGTGAGCACATGTATTTAGTTACAATGCAAATTATTAGGCACTGTAGTTTTTAAGAGCTTGAAATTTACATTCTCAAATTGCAATTACGCTAGATTTATTTCATATTGGTATGAAGATTAGATTTTAGATGGGAAAAAAAACAGATAGGGATAAAAGCTACCCAGGAATTACATTGAGGGCCTTAGTAAGATAATGCCACAAATATAAAGAGCTGACTTGTTCAGAACAGGAAATCTTGGGTATCTATGATGAGACTAAAAATCTGACTGTTTAGAGTGAAGAAAAAGCTCCACTACCAGACAAGATGGTCAGCAATTTTAGGTCAGCCTTTCCTCAAGTATATCTGTGTTTTGTATTCTGATAAATATGTTATTCTTTGGAGTTACTTTAGCACAAATCATGACCTCTTTTCTTCATATCCTGCTGTGTAAGCTTGAAAAGGCACAATCCCCAGGTACTGGTTTCTTTCTGCCTTTCAGGCCTAAAGATCTGTTGGGTGTTTGTCCTATAGATGTAAGTTAATTGTGGCCAAAATGAGAATAACATGGAATAGAAGCTCATTTCTGATCCCTGGTCTGGCATTTTGTACCAAAAGTCTTTATCAATAATCACTATAACTTTTATTGAAATAGTAAAACTGTATTCACATCATGAGAAAAAATGGCAGTTTGAATAATTGAGTTAATTTTAGTTAGGGAGCTTTGAACGAGTCACCCTCATTGATCTCTGTTTGGGAAACTTGGATCACTTAGAGTAGAACGCACTTCTCAGGCTGCTCTGTAATGTGCAAATAATTTCATGATTTTTAGTATTTTTTTTTACATCAGATGTATTATCTCATGAGTGCAAGGACTGCATATTTTATTCTTTCTGTACTCTCACATTACATGCCATAGTTTTTAATATGCAGGGCTCAATTAATAATGTTAATTGAATCAGTCACTACAAAAGCCAGAAATCTATAACCATGATGTTTATTCTTTAAATCCACTAATAATGACTGAGATAAATAAAAAATATGAAGCTACAATTATAAAAATTAACTTCTGTGATACAGATTTGGTTTAACACAAATTTTCTACCTACTAGGAATGAATACATATAATTTTCTTATATTGCCCCAAGGATGTCTGATAATTTTTAAAGCCTATAAATCACCAAAGATAGCACCATTGTTTTTATTTGTCGCTTGAGTGTCAATTCTATACTCTATATACATATACTCTATATGTAACTCTTTTGTTACATATAATTAATTAATGAAGAAAGATGAAATGTTGGACTTAAAGAATGACTCCCGAATCAGATAACTCTTTTTAAGAGCAAGAAGGACTGTGTACTTAGTAGGCATTCCTTTCCTGTTGCAGAAATAGAGGATTAATCTGAGATATCTTTAAGACAAATGAGAACCATATATAGATACCGTAATTAGAAAATCATTAGCCCTTGAACAATTGGCTTCCCTAGTAAGAATTCTGCAGGAATAGTTCATGTATGTCTCTGCACCTCTCTGAGCATTTTCTGTGACCAGTGTTTGCCAGTGTCTTTGAGAGAGTCGGTCTGATTTGTTTAGCTAATGGTTCTGCATTTGGGACAGATGATTGCATCCCTGGCCACTTTAAAGTTTCAAGTCAGCCTCTAGTTGCAATGCATTTGGATTAAGTCATTGCTCCTGGTATAATACATTCTATAGCTAACTCTGTGCAAAGGATCTCTGAATAGGAGATCATAGTTATTTTTTTAATTGATAAAGGAAAACAGACACGGAAGACACCATGACAAAGATACCCAGTACAGATTGCCATGTGGAATGAATTCTTAGTCCTAGATCCAAAGGACAGGGCCACTGAGTTAATTTACAAACTTTGTGCCTTGCACAGGGGCATTTAGCTAAGAAGGCAGATGGCAGTTGATTTTCTGCTAGTGATCAGTTTATCAAGTCTTGCCTGTAAGTCAGGGGTTCCCAACCCCCAGAGAACCAGGTATTTACAGCCGCTCCCCATTGCTCACATTACTGCCTGAGCTCCACCTCCTGTCAGATCAGTGGCAGCATTAGATTGTCATAAGAGCGCAAACCCTGTGATGACCTGTGCATGTGAGGGATCTACAATGTGAGCTTCTTATGAGAATCTGATACCTGATGATCTGTCACTGTCTCCCATCACCCCTAGATGAGACCATCTAGTTGCAGGAAAACAAGCTAAGTCTCCCACTGATTCTATATTATGGTGAGTTGTATAGTTGTTTAATTCGATATTACAATGTAATAATAATAGAAATAAAGTGCAAAATAAATGTGTTTGAATCATCCTGAAACCACCCCCCTCCCCAGTCTATGGATTTTCCTCCACAAAACCAGTTCCTGGTGCCAAAAAGGTTTGGGATCGCTGCTCTAAGTCACTGTGTCTCTATGTGGAGGTGACTCATATTCCACTTCCCACAAAGTGGCATATAGATTGGTGGCAGCCCTGGGTAAAAGTAGATCAAAGCCACAATAAAGCAAGTTTCAGGCCAACATAAAGCATTAATATTAACATGTATTTATTTAATTTCATGGCCTCTTTATTATTTAGCAACATGAGTATTGAGAGTTTTTTTTAAGTATGAACCTTTCCAAATGGGCATATAAAAATATACACACATTTAACCTTCAAGTTTAGGTTGTTCATAATACCTTATTAATAATTCCTAATAAGAATTCTTTGTTTCACAGCAAATAATTTTTTTTTTTTGTGAATAAAATAAATTATCAGAGATTTAGCTGGTTGCAATTAATAATGATATTTTGAGTCTCCAGGATATCTCTTCTTCCCTCTTACTGAAATTCTTTGTGAAGGAAGTGATGTATATTAAGATTCTCTTTGGGAAAATAAAATGCATGTAGTTGCCACCAAAGGATCCATTATATCAAACTGGTAGAGTAAGCAATGGGCAGGGACACTGCTATTTAAAGGTAAATGAGAGAGGAATAATTGTCCTGTAAATGCGTAAATCTGTGTTTGTATTATGTTGAGAAAGAATTTTTAATGAAAAAAATTTTTAAACACTGACTGTGTAATGTTTACAGAGTGTTTACAAGTGGGATCAGAAAGGTGTAAATGTCATAAAAAGAATTTGAAGGTGTGTAAAAATATAAAGAGGATGAATGGAGTGTTTTTCAAGGAAAACTTAAGTATTTCCTGAAATATTTATTTTTAAAATTTATTTTATTTATTTTTTATTTTATTAATTTTTTTGAGATCGAGTCTTGCTCTTGTCACCCAGGCTGGAGTGCAATGACACAATCTCGGCTCACCGCAACCTCCTCCTCCTGGGTTCAAGTGATTCTCCTGCCTCAGCCTCCTGAGTAGCTGGGATTACAAGTGCCTGCCAGCACACCAGGCTAATTTTTGTATTTTTAGTAGAGACGGGGTTTCACCATGTTGGCCAGGCTGGTCTCAAACTCCTGACCTTGTGATCCGCCCACTGTGGCCTCCCAAAGTGCTGGGATTACAGGTGTGAGCCACCACGCCCGGCCTGTTATTGTTTTAAACACAGAAATTGGAATCATCGAATTTCAGCCACTTGACACTAACAAGCATTATGTTTATGTTACTAATTCTGCAGATGTTTATTAGCTGTCTACTATGCACTAATTTGGGAGGTGAATATTGAAATATGAAACAATTGGTCCTATTTTGAGGAACTTTCTTCAAACAAAAGAAAATTATATTTTCAAACATGTTAGGCCAATATAAAATTGAAGTTTGTAGATAGACCCTTTTAAGTCAACACAAATCTTGATTAGGGCAACAATTTTAAAGTCACCTTTTCTTGCAGGATAAAGAAAAAAGTCCTAAAAAATATTGTGATTTTCAAATATTTTTGCTTGTGTTAGAAGAAAATATAAGAGATATAAAAGCAAAGTTTAAAGAATTTCAAGAGTAAATTTCTGGAAACAAAGATAATGGATAATGTGGTCAAGTTGTTCTTTTTAGACTAATGGAAAGATTTAGATCATTAAAAGAGCACTGTTGTATCTAGTAGCAAAAACCGCAAAGATTAAAAGGCTGTTATTCAATAATAGAGTCCCACAACGTATTTTAAACATAACGACCCTCTGTTTAACTTTTTCAAAATCTGTAAGAGTAGTGAACTTTAAAGATTTCATTATTTGCTTTCCTTCAACTGATCTTAATTATTTTTTCTCTAAAATGTGATTAACATTCAAAGTTGGAATCAAGAATAATTTTTTGTAAGGTCCTTTGAGTGTTTGGTTATTCTGGTGTTTCCATCTTACTGCTCACCTTAATATAAATTTATTCTTCTTTATTAATTGGTTTTAATGTGTTTTGCTGTACCTTGGAACTCCAAAGTAATCTAGGTGAAATGTGGGATGCCAGATGCTTTGATTTGAGTGAAGAATGTCCTGATAATACAAAATATACGGTTGTGGGCTTTTGGGTACTGTTGGGGTTCAGAAAACAATATCACCAAATGAAGGCCTCAGCAGCAGCCTCAGAAGCTAAAGTTTTTCTCTGACCTCCTGCCCTCTTTTCTCTCAGTTCCATTCTCCTTAAGGCTAGCCATAGAACCTATAATCCCTCTTCCCCAAGGCAGGTCACAGAAACTAGAACCCTTTTTCTCCAAAGCCAGCCATAAAAACCTACAAATATTACTTTTTCTCTCCACCTTTCTGTGTAAAAACTGACCCATAAAGAAATTATCTGATATACCTTGTTTGACTGTAGGTACTAAAACTCCCATTCCAGAAGGGGTCATGTTCTATACCCAGAAGGAAGGAATGCAGGCTTAAAGAGGCCAGGAAGAGTCTAGACAGATAGACCTTCCTGGGTTTCCCCACTCAGTATATCAGCATTAGTTCTTACCCTTTTTTCTGCACTGCTGTACATACTTTGTTGAACATAAGCATAAAAGTGGACAATTTCCTCTTTATCTTTGGGTCTTCATTCCGAAGGCTCCCATATATACATATTAAATAAATGTGTTTGTCTTTTCTCCAATTAATCAACTTTGCAATTTGATTTTTTTCAGCAAACCTTCTGAGGTTCTCCTTGGCCTCTACAGTACTTTGCCCTAAAACCAAAGCTTTGATCTAGATATAGTCATAGAATTAATAGATTAAAGAGTTGCCTCAATTGTCCTAAATTTAGATATATGTACTGATTTTAAAACTCTTTTTATTTCCCAAACATTTCCTAACATTTATGAAACAACTGCTTAAATAGTAAATAGTTTTGAGAGATCAAATAGTTCCTACTTCCTGATTTATACTTTCTATTTCCAGTACAAATCTTTCCTGAAAGATATTAATACCTATTAAAAGCCACTGATAAATTACCATCATAAAATAATAGTGTAGGTAAATTCATCAAGAGAGTTTATAATCATTTAATACCAACCAGCATTTATTAATCATTTACTATGTGTAATGACATTTGAGATACAAAGATGAGAAAATTAAGCAATATTTTTTGAGTGCCTTCTTTGTGCCAGGCAGTGTTCTAGACTGGAAATGAAGAAGCAAAAGAAAAGTAAGATTTCTTATAAGTCTCATATTATTGAGGAAAAAATCAGTGAATTAATATATTAATTAATGATTAGTGCTCCGCAGAAAATAAAAACAGTATAAAGAGCATGTCTGACTTTCAGTTGCGTCATCCGGCAAGGTATCTCTGAGGACAAGAGAAGTGAAAGGCAGGAAGGGCATAGCTGTGTGGAGTTCAGGGAGAACACTTCACTGGCCAATTTGCTAAGTACAAGGGCACTAAATTGTGAAGAGGCTTGGAGTGTTACTGGGACTTACCTGGCGCAGAAGGTGAGGGTGGAAAAGAAGATGAAGTTTCAGTAGAAGTAGACAAATAGGCCAGACTAAGGTGTTCAGACATTTTTCTAAACCAGATAGAAATTTATCGGCAAGCTCTAAGCAGAAGAGTGATATGAGTCGACATGGAACGAAGAAGTGACCAGTGGAATTGACAAAATGGAGATTACTGGTGTCTTTAAACAGAAGGATTAGTGACATAATAGGGACAAAACTCAACTATTATGTGTTGAGAGGAAAATGGGAAAGAGGAAATTGAGAAAATTTTGTTTGAAGAGGAGCAAATAAACGGGGCAACACTAGGGGAATTTGATATTTATTTTTCTTTTATTAAATGTGAAAATATAATACAGCATTTCTGAATGCTGATGTGAATGATCTAGTAACGAGATAATTTGTGATTTGTAAGAGTGATTTAGTTTCAGAAACAAAATTATTGAGTCAGAAACAGGAAGTGGATCCAGGATCCAGATTACCACCAGAAGAGTTAACCTTGACATCTGATGGGAGAAGAACATTATATGGAGAGAGCATGGGTACAGATAGAGGTGGACTGGTGGAATTGGTGGTCAGAAAATAGAGTTCATTTTGGTCACTTCCATTTACTCAGTTATTAATGGCTGATATTAAGTTAGTACACAGGGTGTAGGAGATCTGAGAAGATGGAAAAGATGAATACAAATATACAGTATCATCAATAGGCATATTAGTAGAGAATTGTTGCAAGCATTATATAAAACTTTGAGATGTGGATCATATTCTCTTGATTGGATCATGTACCAAAATGAAAAGAAGAGGCACAGAAGCCTTTGTGCAGGAGACAGTCAAAGAGAATGGGTAGGACCAAACTTTCTGAAAAGTTTTGCCATCATTCTTTCCAGAATCACCAGTCTACCTATCAGAAGTATTTATTATTAACAGTATTAGTCTTATTTTATTTTAATCATAAATTTCTAATCTAGTCCTTTCGTTAGCATTATCCCATATCCTAAAATAAAAAGTTAGCCCCGAGAGAGATTCTTAACTGTTTTATTGAGAAGTGTAATCATTATCCATGAGCTCTATGCTATGCCAAAATTGCCATGCTAAGTTTATTTTTACATATTTTCATTCATAATTTTAGCCTACTGTGAAATAAGCAGAAAAACTAACAGAAATAACACAGACTCATCAAACTTCTAGAAAAGACCTTAGAAATGGTGCAGGTTGCCTCCTCTGGCCCAGAGGAGGTAAAAGTGCAAAATGCACAGAGGTAAAAGCTACTTACTTATTCGACATTAACACTGTTAATTGCAAAACTGGAAGAAGAATTCTCCATTTACAGCCTTTTGCCCTCTCTTCCCATTTAGTACTTAGTTTAAGGTAAATAATTTCTGTGCTAAAAATCATTACATCTCTATAAATGTACATGCCCTGTTCCATATTTTGGGCTCTTAATGATTAATGATATTCTTCCAGTTTTCCAGAACATAATCAGTGCCCATACTTCCTTAAAAGACTTAGTTAATACTAAAGTTTTAAATAAGAAATATTATATGGGGAATTTACCCAGACTGTTCAGGTATGGATTTAATTTAGGTGGCTTTGTGTGATCATAGAATTCAGATGAGATGATGGAATTAACTAAATTTGTTATAAAGAAAAATGTTAGAGGAAACAAATACAGATTGAAATCACTTTAAATGAGTCTTAGATAAATGTAGTTATAAAATGATAAAAGAATTCATATAAATCTATATTGTCTTTTAAGTTCAAATGTAAGTGTTTTATGTCTTTTTATGTCTCCATTCAGTTATCAGAAATTTATGTATCTGAAGTAGCATTAACAAAAGGCCACAGCCTATTGTGGGATTAAAATGGAAGATATTATGGAGGAGAAATTTAAAAAATAGACATGGAAAGAAACGTGTTTACTTAAAACAACTTTTATTATTTAAAATGATAAATTGGAGAATGACATTTTAACAACTTATTTCCTGGTTATTGACAGTTTGATCTTATTTAGAGCTAAGGATAGTGAAAGATTATTTGCCAAAGCAAAGCCTGCAGTTTGAATATATCCAAGAGAATGATACCTGATAGTGAGTTCTATGATTTTGGAAGGATTGCTGTCTTGTTAAATCAAAATATCTTGTTGTTCACTTTTTAAACAATAAGTTTGATTTATTAATGCAGATAGCTGTTATAGCACATTTTTCAAGGAAATTAAAGTAGATTTCCCTTATCCATTAATTTCCATTACTACCCATTCATTTCTCCCCACTGGCAGCCAATCTACCCATACAACATTTGCCTCACATTTTCTGTTAATTGATGTTTAGCAAATGCCACTCTCAATTTTATCAAATGGGCAGGCACTAAATTTTTGGCAATCACATTAAAATGGAATTTCTAATTGGGAGAAGTAATATAATAGGTAGTGTAGAATGCCTTTCTAATGTAATGCCCATTAAAGCATCTAACCTGAAGAGAGTTGAAGATTGTGCTCTTTTCCAGAGATGTAACCTTTTCCTCATCATGCCTAATAAATGCTCAGGGGGAAAAATAATAAGGCCCTCCGTTATTGTCAGCGGAAGACTAAAGTAACAGGCCAGACCTACAGGCTACAGGAATGCTATTAATTGTAGATGTTATTAGAGTTTTTTTTTTTTTTAACTCTTTTGGGATTGGGGGAAAAGCTGATGTGGCGCCATGATTTAATTGACTTATGGGCAGCTCTGTTAAGAATTTCCAGCACCTGACATTTTATAACAGCTGAAGATCATACAGACATGTCATTATCTTCCATGTAAGATACTAAGTACTTTAGAGATAAATGAATTTGGAAAGTCGTCTTACTTTTCAAAAAATATTGGATACAAAGTGTTCAAAATAACTAGGTTAATTAAATAACATTTTAAAAATAGGTGAGCTTTATTTTTTATTGCAATTAGTAAAATAATATGAAAAGCTGATAATGCTGTACACACTTTTTACTACTAAGGTGCAACTTTAAGGAATTGGAAGACAAAAATCTATGGTGAGAGAAGGCAACATAACATGAAAAAGTAGTAGTAAGCTATTTACTGGTCTCATGTAAAAAGTTTAATATAAATACATAAAACTAAAATCTTGTAAGTTTATGTAAAAAGCCTAAAAAATAATGAACACTAGGGTCAATTTTAACTAGAAAATCACATTCTTAAAATTTTAAGCGTTTCCTTTAAAATAGTATAATGTTTTCTTTATTTCTTTTGATTATTAATGCATTCATTTGTGAATAAAAGTTGTTAGGACCTGCTAATTTCTTGTCAGCATTAAAACCGTGAGTTTTACCTAGCCAAATATAAGCATGGCATCAAAATATCCATAAAATATTTTAGCTCCATGAAATTATAGAAAAAGCAAAACTTTTAAAAACCATTCAAGTAAAAGTAAATGTAAGCTGGGCCATTAGATAATTATTCTAAATTACATGTTAAGTATTTAAGTTTTAATAACATTATTTTGTTATTAAATTAAAAGCATCAGTTTGAAAATTATTATTTTTTTTAAAAATCAAACGGTTATTTTGCAAAATGTTCCCCCTAATTTTTTTTTCCTCCATGCTTGAAAGGAGAGATACAAATATTTGGTCAACAGGATAGTATCTACTTTATGACAATCTGTTATTTTTCTAAATATTAATGAGCTAATACTCCCCATTCATAGAGCATTGTAATGTCTCTCCATGAGATAAAAATGTTAGTGTCCAAGAGCTTGAAATCTCCTTGAGATAAAAATAGCTGCAATCAAATAGTTATGTATTGCATCTGTAAATACATATGACACAATATATCGTATATCTATATACATATGTGTGTATATATAATCAATTGTGATGTTATAAGTTTCATAGTATTTGAGGGAAGAATAGAATGGTTGCGACACTCATATTTCTTCTTTCTCCTAATTGCTACTGAAATAGATCCTTATCTCATTTGTTTAATGAGAAGTGCACCTAATGTGTTCTTGGCTCTTAAAATTTAAAACTGGAAATTATATGTTTATTATTTCAGTTTTATCTTTAAATGAAGTTACTTAGGCTCAACAAAAATTCCAGAGTATGTTGCCTACTTTCATATTTCACTCCCCTGATTTAAAAAGAATATTGAGCACTCAGACAAGCATCAATGGGAATTGTTTTCTTAAATGACTTAATGGAAGTTGGAATCGGACTATATTTAATACCTGGTTATTTAACAATGTTTTTATGTGGAGCTGTATCTCAAGGTAAAATTCCACCTGAAATAAAGCATTTATGAATATCTGCCACATGATAATCTCTATAGAAAATTGGGTCTAAATGAAAAGTTGTCAAATTCATGTGTAATGAATTGTACTGAAGCGTGTTTCTCAAAAGAAATTTGTAGTGCTTTCTTTTACAAAATGCAAAATCCTTTTGGAGACAAAGTGGTCACAGTTATTTTAAACATCTGAATATCTGTAAGTTAGATTTTCATAATAGGACACGTTTGAGGGAAAGGCAATGTTTACATCTTTTAAATGAAAAAGTTACATCCTTTAAATAGTTACATCTTTTAATTTTCGTGTTCACCATCTTCAAGGAATAGAAGGTACAGAATGCAGATTTTCTATGCTACAGTATATGAACAAAACTAACACTGGGGACTAAATTATTGCTTTAGTGGTCACCTGACACATAGGAATTCATTTTGAAAACGGTCATAGTTTTCCCATTGCCAAGAATAAAATACTACTTGACTTTTACTCTAAACATGCGACTTAGAATGGCAGAAAGTTTGAGATGATTAACAGCATAAAGGTTTTTCCTTTGCATAGTCTAAACCTTCTACTCACTGGACAATTTCAAATGTATCAATAGTTGAGATGACAAAGATTTTGTAATCGTTGTCGAAATAACATACACTAAATAGCATAACTGGATCTTAATACCTTCATTTCATATTCTTCTGCATAGTAGGCAAAAAATTAAATGCTGATTAGCATGTTGCTCTATTTTTCATAAAGAGAAGGACAATGACATATGTTTGTATTATTTGAGCTCAAATTAAACTGGACTGATGCCTAGTGCAAGGATACCATAATTCATTAAACAAATATTTATTGAGTTGGCTATTTTCAGAACATTGTGTATGCTAAATTGAAAGAAGCACTTTCTAAGTTATTCAATACACAGAAGAAAGGCATTTATTCAAACACAACTTTCCTTAGGAAGATATACATTCTTCATGAACAGAATAGAGGAATCTGCTTAAAGGTAACACCACTATCAGTTAGTCACTCTGCTATTTTATATATTCAAGGGAAAAATCACCGTATCTTGCTTAAACATGTATGTCAATGCTGGTGTCTTCCTCATTCAGGTAAACTGGCAACATCTCCATGAATAATGACTGCTGAAGAATTCTCTGTGTCACTTGTGTGTAAACACATAGTTCAAACCTATATACTTGCAAAATAAATTTGTCAATTGGGGAAAATTAAAAATAAAGCATTTGGAGGAAAGATAGTAAGGTGGAAGTACTTTGGCATATACAAAGATACATTAAAGAAACTGCTACATATAGTTTTCCTCGTTGTCCATTTGACCAGTATAGAATGTTTTCAGGGAATGAAAGGAGGAAAGTGAAAGGGAGAAAGAAGGAAGGAAATAAGGAGGGAAAAGGGAAGGAGAGAAGGTAGACAGCTGTCCCACTTTAGAAAGGCCATGTCTGAGTCAGTGTTTTTCTTTTGTTGTTGTTGTTTGTTTTTTAACATCAGAACAATCTTAATAGGCAGCAGCATCCTGGTAAGTGTTGTGGTGAAGTAAAAATGGGCAGATTAATGAGGCAATTCCTAGTCAGATTAAAGAACAAAAAGGGAAATTATTCACTTGCAACACATGCTTTTCTCAACTTTGTGTACAATTAAGACAACACTTGTGTACTTTTAATGTGAAGGAAATAGAGTTTCTTTTCCTTGGGAAAAATCTGTTGTAAAGTAACTATTCCTATAACCTACTTCAGAGAGACATTCCTTAATCCCTAGACAACAGGACTAAGCCATTTTTGCACAATTCTGATGATCTTGGCTGTATTTTTCAGAATGCTTTCTTTAATGCTAAACATGTGGAACATATTCAGTACTTGCTGGTTGACTGATAATGAATGAAATCTTAGGAAGCATTCACCTGTGGTCTGGAAAATTGAGATCATTTGGGAGCGAAAATTTAATTGAACACAGAACTGGTCAACTTGATTTCTTGGTGAAGCTTAATTTGTTTTTATAATCAACATTCATGAAAACTCAAAAAACTAAAGGCAATTTATAGCAAAATCATAACTTCAGAGGCAAAACTAATAGTTAAGTCACCATCAACATAAGAAAGCTGACATAAGACAATGAGATCCCATAAGCTTGTAGACTGGGTCTCAGGGCCTTGAACATAGTTACTTTGGGAAATTAAACAAACAAACAAACAAACAAACAAACAAACCAAGCACTTGGCTCTGTGAATATATAGAGAATACCATTAATGTGGAAGCTGTAATGTGTGGAGGCCAGGTTTAAATTTCCATGAAGCATTCTATAAGAGGATACCTATCATTGGATTGTTCTGATGTTTTAAAGCATTCTCATAGAACTTGCCTAGCAACTACTAAAAAAGAAACAAGAGGCCTCAAGGGATACTCAGGAAGATAATCAGAATTTTAACTGGAAAGTAGATAGGAAGAACAGTGACAGAATTACAGACCGAAGGGAGAGGCGCCTTTTGTTAATATTAACTGCAGGAACATCTCAATTGTGGAACAGACAGATGTAGAATACATTGGCATGCCGTTTGTTATTTATGCAAGTATGGGAAACTCTCAATACAAATGAAGGTGAGAGTATTCTGTTAATTTGGAAAATAGTCAGCAGCAGTCTCAGAATCATTCATTGGTGCAAAAGTTATTTTAAGGTAAAATGCAATTTTATTCTGCAAATGCTTGAGATTTCTTATATTGCCTTTAGTTTTTTATTTAAATTTTTCTTCTTCTTTTTTTTTTAACTAGCAGGCCTAGTCCAGAAATTATTCTCAGTTGTAATAGCTAATAGAAAAGCGTCTAGATTTTCTAAGATAACAGATGGTATACTAACCCATTTTGTGGAGAATATGGTTGTATGTATCTATATACAAATGATAATATTATGAGGAAAGGAATTAACAAAATCCCTCCTTGTTGACCCTGATTCAACATCACAAATGCTGTGTCTGGATTGCCATTTGGGGTCATTTTGGGCCAGAAGCAGAGAGTACTCTTGGAGGGACTAGAATCATTGGTTAAAATATCTGATCTGATTGATGATATTACAATGATTTTTCTCCAAATAGCTTAGCTTAATTCAAATGAATCATATTATAGCCTTTCTTTTTCAATTTAACTTCCTAGATTTAAGTATTCCCCATTACTCTGTCTATAAAAGTCCGTGTTTTTTTCCTAGCATCTGGTTGGGTTTTTTGTTGTTGTTGTTGTGGAAGACAATAAACCATATGATTAGATCAACATCTATAGCCTTGGTCAGTATAGTACAATTATTTAAAACAAATGATGGATCCATCTCATATATAACCCTTTTTTTTCTAGTGGTTAGAGTGTGTTTATTTCTTACAGTGTGATATGAGAATTAGAAGCATCAGCATCACCTGAGAGCTTGCTAGAAATGCAGAATCTTAGGTCCATACCTAATGAAAAATAATCTACATTTTAACAAGATTTCCCAGTAATTTGAATACATGTTATCATGTACTTATGTGTAAATGGGCCTCTATCATATATGCTTGAGTCAATTCACAGGATTATCGAGAGAAACAAATATCATAGTGGATGGGAATAAATAATTATTTCTCTGTCAATGGACATATAATCTTTAAAGTCTTATCTCTGTATCAGCATATTTGTAAATAGAGAGTAGGCAAAAAAGTCACGTGTTCATTTGTTCCAAATGTTACCTAATTTTTACAAAAACTTATATACTACTCACCCGAAAATGGTGGTAATGAGACCAATGTAAGGATTAACAGAGACAGTTGCTTAAATTATGTTAGCTTTATATCATATTTTGACTATGAAGTTACAAGTTAATTTGTGAGAACTCAGTAGAGAATAGTAATTTTCTTGGAAATACACAATTTTGGTTTTGATGTATGTTTGCTTTTTTTTGTTTTTATTGCTTTGGTTAAACGTTTACATCTTGTCTGCTAACATACAGGGTAGAAGAGCCCTTGCAGTCCCCTGATATAGGCCCAGAGGCAGAGTGTAAATAATACTCTGAGCACTCATTTCTGGCAGAGAGCTTCTGCAAGTTCACGCCTGAGAAGCTAAAGGTAAATCCTGAGAGGAAGCAAGGTCTAGAAATTCATAGATTTGTGTGGTCCTTCCATGGGTGTCATATATACTTCCTCCATGTAGGTGATAATATGTCTCTCTTGTTGTGCACCAACTTCACCAGCTTGGGGTTTACCACAGTGCTTATTTTCTGTAATAATTCTTTTTTAAGCCTCCAT
Source organism: Homo sapiens (assembly GCF_000001405.40). Taxonomy (NCBI): domain Eukaryota; kingdom Metazoa; phylum Chordata; class Mammalia; order Primates; family Hominidae; genus Homo; species Homo sapiens. The sequence continues at coordinate 50,960,465 of NC_000002.12, read as the reverse complement.
TATTTAGGTCAAAACAGACCTTGGTAGGTTTCAAATCATTTAAAATGCGGAGTACATTTACCCTAAGAAGAGAGGACTACTTAAGAAAAGTTACATTGCTAGGTAGGAAAGGAAGGAAAGGAGGGAAGGAGGGAAGAAGGGAGGGAGGGAGGGAGGGATGAGGAGAGAAAGAAAGCTGGGAAAAAGTTGTTAAGTCCTTTGAAGAGCTTCTGTCTCCATCTGATATGGAAAATTAATGCCTTATGGAGGCAGATCTGTTGTTCTCTTTCTCGCTAACCTTTTTATGGAGATAAATACCTGATCTTTAATGTTTATTTTTTCATCTGTTAGATAAGAGGAGTCCCAGGACATTTCATACAACTTAAGAGAAAGCAACATGACATGAAAAAAAAAATTCTTTTGAGAACAGTGGAAGAGTCAAAGTAGTACTTTGTTTTTGTTTTAATGATTTCAACATCGGAGAATTTTTGTGTATAAGAAAATGGTTATAGAAGCAGTCCAGGACTATAAGTAATTTTTTGAAATTTTATATAAATAACTTTGCAATTTTGGACAAGTCATTTAACTTCTCTGTATCTCAAGTTTTCATTTGTTAAAACAGCATGTTTACATGAGCTATCAAGAAATGTTATTTCTAGTTTTAATTTCCATGTTTCTTGAAACTGAGATCAGCAATAGATGTGTGTGCATATGTGTGTATGTGTGCATAACATGTAACTTGATATATCATTCTCATGCCATAAAATTAAAGTGTACAATTCAGTGGATTTTAGCATATTCCGAAGATTGTGCAGCTGTCATGCTAATTCCAGAATATTTTCATTATCCAAAAAGAAACCCACAACCATTTATAGTCCTTCCCATTCTTCACTGTCCCCAGTTCCTGGCATCTATTCATCTACTTATAGCTCTATAGACCTACCTGTTCAGGACATTTCATGCAAATGAAATCATATAAGATGTGGCATTTTGGGACTCTCTTCTTTTACTTAGCATAATGTCCTAATATTGTAATATGTATTAGTACTTCATTTCTTTTTATGGCTGAATAATATTTGACTTTGTGAATATAGCATATTTTATTCATTCATTCATCAGTTGATGGATATTTGGGTTGTTTCCATATTTTACCTGTTATGAATAACACTTTGAACATTTATAAGCAAGTTTTTATGTGAACATATATTTTCCGTTCTCTTGAGTATGTATATGACAGTGGAATCACTGGGTCATGTGGTAACTGTATATTTAACATTTTAAGAACCTACCAGACTGCTTTCCAAAGGGGTTGCATCATTTACATTTTTATCAGCAGTGTATGATAAGAAAAATCAGCAATTTTTCCACATTTTCACCGACACTTGTTATTGTCTGTTTTAAAAATTATACTGACATCAAAGTTAGACAAAATAACTTAAAAAACTATAGATCATATCTCATGAATGTAGACACAAAAATTCTGAAGAAAAATTTAGCAAAGACACTACGACAAAATCTAAAAATGATACCACATCATAATTAAGTAGGATGTAGAATGCAATGTTAGTTTAATGTTTGGAAACAAATCGTTGTAATGGCAAACTAGAAATAGAAGGACAGTTCCTCAACTTAATAAAGAAAATTTATGAAATTCACACAGCTGCTGAGATCACACAGCTGCTGAATGATTGCTGACTGCATTCCCGTTAAATCAGAAACAAGACAAGAATGCTCACTCTTGCTGCTTCCATTCAGAATTGTCTTGGAGATTCTAGCCAGGGCACTTAGGTAAGGAAAAGAAACTAAGAGGTATCCAGACTAGAAAGGAAGAAATACAACTACCTCTACTTACAAATGGCATTATCTTGCATACAGAAAAGGCTAAGGAAAGTGGAACTGATTAGTTCAGCATGGTTGCAAAATACAAGATCAATTCACAAAAACCAGTTGACTTTCTATAAAAATATCAATAAATACTCCATAAATGAATTAAAAAAAACAAGCTTATTACAAAAGCATTCACCAATAGTAGTTTTGTAAAGACATGTTCCTAGGTAAAAGAAGAATGCAAATTACTAATTTGTAAATAGTATATATGTTAACTTTTGAGAGCTGAAATGAAGGCTTTGAGATCCTATTTTACAAAAGCCAGTGTCGTTTGAGAGTTTCTGGTGCTTATACTTGTATCTAGAATTCTACTGGGTACACAGAAAGCTTATTAATGTTGAGCTCCAAAGCAAGGAGTTTTATTTTGCAGCTGTCTTCTCTGTTGAACATAGGAATCTCTCGTTCCCTTGACCACACTTTCTGATTAAAATCTTTCCAAATATTCCAGGAAAATGGTCCCATTTCCAGGACTGATGCTTTCAGAAACAAAGCGAAACAAAACTTTGGCCCAGAAAGGCACTGAGACAATTGCGCAAGACAAATAAACAGAGGATTCTGATCTGTAGCATTTTCTTAAAGATGTGCTGCAACTTACTTCCTTAGACAATAGAGAGGGGTGGAATGATTCCACTACAAAAAAAGCTAACTCTTGAATGATCCCTTGTTTTTTATTTTCATTTCTAAAATATTCTCCACTGTTCTCAGTGGATACTATAAATCATTTATAAGCCACCAAGACTTCTGGGCCAGAATGATAGCTTAACTTATGAATTGTTTTAAATGTCATTTGAAATGTATTATAATTTCATTTAATGTGGGGAAGAATCAGAAAAAACAATATTTTACAAGAAATCAAACATGACAAAAGTAATTAAGAATAAATCACTTTTTCTCTTCTGGATTAAAGAAGGAATAAGAATCCTTTAGTGTTTAGTATTTAAAACTTTGGCCTAAATTACTTCACAAATTTCATACATATGATAAAGCCGCAGAATCATTTATTGATTACTAATATTATGCCAGGGATATCACAAATGTATTTCTTTAAGGATTTGTCAGCTTACTGGCTTTATTGGCATTCTGTGCTGGGTAAATTTTTGTTGTAGGGCTATTGTGTGCATTGCAGGATATTTAGCTGCATCCTTGGCCTCTACTCAGTAAATGCCGGTAATATCCACTCCCAGTTATGATAACCAAAAATGCCTTATGGGGCGTAATGGCTCCTGGTTCAGAACTTTATAACCTCATAAAAAATTTATGTAAGTTATTATGATTCCCCTTTTATATCCTGAAAATGAAGCTGAGAGAGATTAAATAACTTGCTCAAGGACACATAGCTAATAAGTGTCAGCGCCAAAATTTGAAACCAGGTTTATCTTGATGTCTGCTTGCATCATCTTGACCAACAGGTTCTTTTACTGAATTTTTATTTTTAATCATGGAATAGGGATTTACCCAAGGGCACAAATCTTGAGAAAAGAGTATTGTACAAAGAAGCCTTGGTAGTCACTACCGTGACATTCCAAGCATAGAGAACATTTTAGCTAACTTATTCTAACCCCACATACTCCCAATTCCATCTTTCATGGCATCCTTATTGCTTCATATTAATGGATACTATTGTGTGTGGTAAAAGTGTCAGCTCTGGTTTCAAACTCCCTCTGCTCCTTCATTCTGGGGAAAAGACCTGATCTTCCCATCCTTGAGCTTCCGTGTATGTAAACTGGGGCTGACCATATTACCTCCTCATTGAGTTTGTTAGGATGAATGTCATCTGTAAGGCATTTAGGCCAGTAAACGAAATAATGATTAAGCTCTATAAATGTTAAATCTTGCTTTTTATTTTTTAAATTAAATTTATTATTATTATTATTATATATTTTTTGAGATAGTCTCACTCTGTCGCCCACTGCAACCTTCGCTTCCTGAGTTCAAGTGATTCTCCTGCCTCAGCCTCCTGAGTCGCTGGCACTATAGGCATGCACTACCACACCCAGCTAATTTTTGTATTTTTAGTATAGACAGGGTTTTGCCACATTGGCCAGGCTGGTTTTGAACTCTGGGGCTCAAGCAGTTTGCCCACCTTGGCCTCCCAAAGTGTTGGGATTACAGGCATGAGCCACCACACCCAGCTAAATCTTACTTTTAAAGTGTATTTGTTTTAAGCCCATCACGTTAGTGAGTAAGTAGCTAGTATTATGTATAGCGATTACTCCCCTTACATGAGGGGAATATGTTCCAAGGCCCCCCAGTGGATGCTTGAAATTGCAGATAGTACTAAAACCTGTGTACTATGTTATTCCCTATCCATACATATTTATAACAAAATTTCATTTATAAAATAGGCACAGTAAGAGGTTAACAGCAATAACTTATAAAACAGACCAATTATAACAATATATTTTAATAAAAATTATGTGAATGTGATCTCTCTCTCTCAAAATATGTTACTGTTGTGTACCTCTGGTAACAGCCACTTTGGAAAGTGAAAATGTGGATAAGGGAGACAACCGTATTAGCCTTGCTTCCCTGGAAGAACTAACTGGACATTTAAAAAAGAATCATACCTCAAGAGGATCTGAGTTTTTAGGGTAGAGCCAGGCACTAGTTTTCCAATGCTGTTTTCTCACAAACATGTTTCATGTGTTTTGCTAACCCAGCTGCTGCCCGGCAGACTCTGGGAAAACGGACTGTCCTCCCCAGTCTGTAGCTACAGAACTTGTTGGAGAGGCTGTATAATTTATTCATTTATAAATTCAATCATTCCCCCCTCAGTAATTATCAAACACTTTCTATTTGGCAGTTTCTGTGCTAAGTTATGATTGAGAATGAAGTGTTGCATTTTCTCTAAATATGTTCTTGGGAAATGTAAAAAAGAAAGGCAGCTTCACTGTATCCATCCAAGAGAATTGCTTTCAATCTCAACTTGCTGTTATCTAACTGTCTGGCATAAATGAGTTGCCTAACCTCTCTGTGCTTTCTACTCATATATAAAAATGGCACTGTTCTGCTGTTGACAGTTATACTTATTTATGATCCTTTGACATAGCTTAAGGGAACATTTCAAAGCTTTCATATGTGGTTTACTAATAAAATTTACTTTTAAGCTGCCATATTTTCAATGTCACTTTTTAAAAAGCCTGCTTTAAAATTTTCCTCTTAAAGAAGGAGCATGATGGCTAAATGGATCATTGCATTAAATGCTGTGTAACCAGCAGTTACAGAATTTAACTCACTCCTCTGTAATTACTCTTTGAACTCCACTGAAGAGCTGTGACTATACACAGCTGGTGACAGTCAGGGCCAGCCGTCCCTCTCCTGTTTTTTATTTACTAACAGTTTTGTGAACTATGGTTTTCATCCTGCTCACAGAATCTCTGGTACATAATTATTTGCAGCCTCCACTTTATATGTTTTATTGTATGAATAGTGACCCATGTCAGCTGTGAATTAAAATGTTACTTCCCTAACCAGACAATTATGTAAGAGTTTGTGTGTGCGTGTGTGTGTGAGAGATAGAGAGAGAGAGATGAGTAGAAATGAAGGAAATACACCCTGCACCTGCTTCTTTCCCTTTTTTTATCTTCCCAGCTGTCTTCCTCACCTGCTGCACCCCATGTGTAAGTGCCAGTTGAGTTGGTCTTCTTGGCTAAATCTGTTTATCTCCTATAGCAAAAATGCTGTACACCAATCTCTCCAGGTCCTGGAACCATCCTGCATCCTGACCCAGTTGGTGATACCATCAAGTCTCTCATGTTGCCATTCCAGTTCTGACAGTGAATTCTGGTTTTAGTAATAAGGACGTCTGTGAAGAAGCTCCTGTTGAGTACCTAATTCATAGAAACTCCAACTCTGCCTTGATTCACAGTTTATAAAGAACTGGAAGTAAGCTTTGCATGCCAGGCCCTCTGACCAAACCTCTTTTGTCCAAGGTTATTCCTCCAGCTTCCCTGCCTGCTTCTCTTCTTTCTTTGAACTGTGCCTACTGCGTACCAGCATACTGCCTGGACTACCTATCTACCCATTCAGGTTTCTTTCCCAGCTCTGCTGGAACTTTCTTGATTGCTTACTCCCTTCAAGTGAGTCTGTCTATGCCCTAATTCCTGCATGTCCCTGTTCTGCCCCATAAATGGCTGAACCCGCTCTGGGTTGGACTCTGTGTGAGTAGCATTTACATCAGTGAAGTATACTCTTTAAGCTCTGCAATGAACTGAATGTTGACAGCAATATGTAGAGAGCTTGAGAATTGAAGTTTATACAAGGTGGTCCACATAACGCCATCCCTTCAAAAGAACTGGTTGAATAGCTTTAAAATAATTGTATTAAAGCTGAAGTTGAGCAGTAATGTAATATCATACTGTTTGACTTTCATTTGAAGAAAGAAAACATCCTGAGAGAAACAAGATATAATGAAAATAAGGAGTGAGATTTGATATATATAATTCCTATATGTGATATGTATTATTTCTACTCAGAGAGAGGAAGTAGTGATTAACTTCATTAAAATGTATACTCTAGGTCTTTTAGTACCATTAAAAAGGGTGTGTGCTTTTATGTGCATTTATTTAGGAGGGTGGGGGCTAAGGAGTTCCTACCTTGAATGCTTAGAAAGTATTGATTCAGCTATGAAAAGTTTTTTATTCAATTGGTCTCTATATTTTGTCCCTTTGATTTTACTTTTAACCTATCTACAATATACCATGTAATGACAATTGGTGTGACTCATATTTGTCAGTTGAGAATGGGCGTGGTGGCTCATGCCTTTAATCTCAACACTTTGGGAGACCGAGGCAGGTGGATCACCTGAGGTCAGGAGTTCAAGACCAATCTGGCCAACATGGTGAAATTTCGTCTCTACTAAAATACAAAAATTAGCCAGGCATGGTGGCGGGTACTTATAATCACAGCTATTGGGAGGCCGAGGCAGGAGAATCGCTTGAACCTGGGAGGCAGCGGCAGATGTTGCAGTGAGCCGAGATCATGCGATGGCACTCCAGCCTGGGTGACAAAGCGAGACTTCATCTCAAAAAAAAAAAAAAAAAATTGTCACTTGAACATAGAAATACTGTAATACTACTTTTTCTTGTTGTAGCTTTTTTCTTCAATTTCAATTTTTAGGGAGTTCACATGATGTATGATGTGTTTGATATGTCCTGATGACGTAAAATGCTTATACCATTTGTTGCCAGTTATGAAAGCACAACTCTTAAAATAGTGAACTGAAAATGAACTATACTTATTGACTTAACTACTATATTCCAGACAATTTGTTATGGGCTTCTGAAGCATTATGTTGTAACAACCTCATTAGGTTTTCATTGTTCTCTGTTAGGAAAGTGTGACTCAGAGACATTGAGGTATTTGCCTAAGGTTACAATAATAAATGGCTAAATCAGAATTTCAACTTTGTTCAATGGATGTGCTATTCATAATGGGTCTATACTCATCCTATTGTGCAATTCCATCAGGAAGTGGAAATAAGTTATTAAGGGAGAGTCAGAGTCTACTTCTTAAATCTCCCATTCAGTCTCCCATTCACCTGCCCTTTCTTGCCAGGGTGACAGTGTTCCTCTCTCTTAGTATTTTCTCCTCCATATATATTGATCATTATGGATTACCTCCTGTGTACACCACTTTACTGGGGACACAATGGAGCACAAAGAAGCATAAGAAACGATTCACTTCTTCTAGCAGCTTGAGCTCTGGTTGATGGGTCAAAACTTTTCCACTTAATTAATTAAAATGGCAACGTATGTAAAATGGGAGGGTAGGGTTGAAGCTCAGTGGAATCTGGCATAGATGACGAAAGGGGGAGTATGATTCAGAGTAGAAAAAACAGCAGCTAGACTGCAGAAGTGATTTGCTGCCAAATTGCATGGCCTGGTGTGTTGCTGATCTATTTATCCCACCACAGACATTTTGAAACATGCTTCTGCATGCTCATCAGAGGCACTTTGCTCTTCTAGTTCATTTTTATTTATTTTCTACCTTCCACTTTGAAAATAAGAACTCCGTGGTAGCATAGATCATGTCAGACTTGTTTACCTCTATATCTCCAACACCTACAGCTGTGCCTACCATGTAGCAAGTTATTAATAAAAACTTGTTGAAATAATTGGGCATGACAAACAAAAACATTATTCATTCTGTTTTCCAATTATTAAAACAGCTTATATTAAAGGGTTTTACATTGTAGAATTCTCTTTTCTTTAAATTATCTGGTCCAATTCTATAAATAATGTTTATTAAGTTTATAATTGTCTTGTATTTGTATGTGTGAGAAAAGATAGAATTTTTGACAGGGTCTCATATTCAGTATATTCTTTTTATAAAATATATTTATTCGTGGCTCACGCCTGTAATCCCAGCACTTTGGGAGGCCGAGGCGGGCGGATCACGAGGTCAGGAGATCGAGACCATCCCGGCTAAAACGGTGAAACCCCGTCTCTACTAAAAATACAAAAAATTAGCTGGGCGTAGTGGCAGGCGCCTATAGTCCCAGCTACTTGGGAGGCTGAGGCAGGAGAATGGCATGAACCCGGGAGGCGGAGCTTGCAGTGAGCCGAGATCCCGCCACTGCACTCCAGCCTGGGCGACAGAGCGAGACTCCGTCTCAAAAAAAAAAAAAAAAAAAAATATATATATATATATATATATTTATTCATGTACAGTTTTGCTACTCTAAAAATGAAATTCATAGATAATCCAGTTATATGAGATAGATAACATAGATTATATAACATATATTATTTTTAAAATCACTATAATTCCATAATGGTAATATGAAGGAAAAATATGAGGAAACATATTTTTATAAAATTCTGTGTATCTCAATATGCAGATGTTCAGGCATGAGGGTAATAGAAGACATAGTGAGGTAGGCAGCTGCTTTTACCTAAAAGAAGCATGAATATGAAGCTACATTTGCACACTAATGGAGCTGTGTTACATCGGTGACTCATACTATGAGAGATGTTACAGTTGGTGACATTTTTTTTTGAAATAGTGAGGAATTCTTGGTAAATTTCCAAACCAAATATATTTTAAACTCCTCCAGGTTTGCATAGTTGTTGTATTCTGAAAAAAAATTAGTGAACTATATAAAGGTGTGCCAAAAATACTTGGTGTTCAATTTACTTAAAGCTAGGTTCTAGGCTCAGATAATTATACACAAGTTATTCATCCAGTTGGGTATCTGGCGGGACATTTGAAAGCTCAATGAGCATACTGTACTGTCCTTTGCATTATGGGACGTTTAGTACCCCAACCCCTACCCACTAAAGGTCAGCACATTCTCTGATCCTGTGAAATCCATATATGCATATGCATTCACAGATTTACAGGCTTTGTGCCTCAGATATAGTACTCCTCTCATCTCATCTCCTCTCATCTCATCCCCTTTTGTCCCTCAGGTTGCCCCCAAGGCACATCTCCAAGGAATTATCCTGAGCTGTAACCTATTCTTTCTAATACATTGTTTCAAACAGCTGTCCTTGAGCAATTGAATACAATCTAATACATTAATTCCCAGTATATTACTACTGACATACAGGGACCTCACATTTTTTGGCTGAGGTCAGAACAGAGGCCCTGATTAAATTTCAGTCCACTGCCATTTTCCATGAAAGAAATGTCTTGTTATATTAGCTTTCCAAACAGCCATGACATAATTTCACTGACCACTGATTACAGACTAGAACTCTCAGGTTATTTAATATTTCTGAGACTCTGTTTTCTTTTCTGTAAAATGGAGATGATAATTAGAACTAAAGCTATTGTTTCTGTGGTTAATAAACAAGGTATCTTTGTAAAAAGTTATTAGCATGGACCCTAGCGCTTACACTCACATTCTGTGTGACTGCTTATTATTACCAAAATGCTGTTAAATGTTGTTACCGAAATAATGTTACAAAAATTATTGCTTTTCAGCTTAGAATTGGGGGTGAATTTGGGCGGGGCACACTAGTAGCATTTAGTGCCAGGGATTCTACTTAACATTCTAAAATGCACAGAATAGTCCCTTCCAAGAAAGACTTATCCGATACAAAATGTTAATAGCAACAAAGGTGAGAAACCGTGATACATGCACGCCCCAGTACAGTCTTCAATTCATTGTTAATATGTGATTTTCTGACTTTGCCTTCTTTTTCTCTTTAACGGAAGAAATTCAGACACTTAACTGAGTTAATGTGCTTCTCCAGTGAAAGCCAGCCTAAATTGTCAAATGGGTATTCTGATAAATTGATTTTAAAAAATAACTAGATATATAATTTGACATGTATGTTTTTATCTTTTCTTTTTTATTGCAATCTCCAAAGTCCACACATTTCTATTTTCCCTTCTGTATAGTTTTCCTACTTGAAGTATTTATGAAGCTAATACCTTGACACATGTTTTAAAAGATTTGTAGAATCCAGAAAAAAAGGAAATAATGCAACCACTTTCCCAGATTACTATGGAAAAAAAGAAACAAGTGGAAAAGCTTTGAGAGCATTTATATGTTGCTCTAAACATCAGGCCAGGAGATAGTTCCAGTGTTGTTATTCTGCTTAGCAAATAGCTAGCACTTGCACACATATTCTTACTTCAATTAATCTCCTCCTGCCTTCACAGTTATGTAAGTTAGCATGATACCCAGGGGATGGTACAAACTCCAGTCAAATTGTAGTTTTCCCCAAATCTTCCTTGTACATACACACTTTCAACAGAAATAGATGAGACATATAATACCAAGAAAAGGCTGTGTGTGGCTCTGGAACCACTCATCTGTGGGAATATCTAACCCATGAAATACAAAGGTAGCAAATATTAGTTTATAGCAAGTTCTGGCTGTGCCGGTAAAAGCTTTCTGGGAAAAGTTTTTATTTTGACCTCCTAGTTTTTCCAAGAAGTCAGAAGATACTTTTATTATAAAAACAATAAGAAGCTCCTGGGAGAATGAAGGCCTGAGTAGGAATGAAACCACACCATGTATTATGCTCAGAAACGTGGTACCATGGGAAAACTTTGCAGGATGTCTGGATTGCACTAGGAAGAATGAGAGTGAGAATGATTTTTTCATTCTAGAGATGAAGCAGAATTATTGTATCAGAATTGTGGCCTTCTCTGTCCCTTGTATTCCTCATTTTGATTTTATTAACTTTATTAATAATATTTTTAAAGAGTATGTTTCAGTATGAGTATGTGTAGACTGTTCAGCCAAGTCTATTTCTTGATGCCATTATCTGACTCTTGGAAACATCAGAATTGATATGAAAGGTAAGTAACTAAATTAGACACATTTAAAACCAGCAACACTTTCATCCTTTTTGTTTAACTAAATCCCTATTTCAACTCAGTATTATATGGTTGAATATAGTGAATGTTTTCCCTTTCTTTTGAGCCCCACATGTTATTATGGAGATAAGAATATGTAATAAAATTTATGTATATAATTTAAGTGAATTGGACAAAATAGTGACAAAGGTATTTTCAGGTTCCTCTCACTCAACTTTTAATAGGACAGTCCTAAGAACAGTCTTCTTATTAACAAATGCTGGACTAATTAATTATATATATTTCCTTGGGTTTATAGAACAGATCTAGCAGTTTTCTGCTCCCTGGTTGTCAGCTTTTGTAGTAAGCCTTTTTATTTTGGTGTATTCCACCAGATCCAAAATTGGTGGATAAGCCATATTGAATTCATGGAAATACCTATTCAGGAAACTCACAGTATTCTGGAAAGTCTCCAAGGGAAAGTGTGTCTGTTTCATTGTCCCTACTTGTAAATAACCTAGTAGTTCTCACAAAAAATTAGACTTCCAAATAAGCTCTATGCAGTGTGGTATCTTGAAGGACAAATAAAAAGTAACTGGGCTCAATTAGTGACTGCCTGAAAGAGACATTTGCCTGTGATATGGCTACTCTGAGGTTCCAAAGTGGTTAATTCTTACTATTATTTTAGAAGCCTACTCTAAGATTAAATGGGGCAGTATGTATTAGCTGCTCCCTCAATCATCAGAATTCTAATGCTAATGAGTTCTAAAGCAATGAAATGAACTCCAATAAATTCAGATCAACCAGCAAACCTCAAAGGAGCAAACGATTTTGGCAAATATTAACCTGCCCAGAGTACTGATATTTTTAAAAGCATTCAATTGTACTTTCCTTGCACAGTATATTTTAAGTGTGTTTTTTATTGCTTCTTTTGTTATCTGGCTATTTTACTTATAAAAGGCATCCAGGGATTAGCAATGATTTATGTGTATAAATACTTAGAACAATATCTTATATCATTTGTGAAATTTTGGATCTATCTAAATTGCCATGTTACAGTTTATTAATTTTGCCATAATATATAATGGACGTTTGATGATTAAAAAGTTGTCAATATTCAGATGTTAATAATTCTGTTCATTGAGAGTAAAGAAAACAAAAATTACCTCAAGAAATCTTTTCAAGTGTATTTAGAGACAAATGGCTTTTATTTTTTATTGAAGAAATGTGGTGTCTGTGCCATATGCGTTGTAAGGATGTCCTGGGAAGTGTGTTCTGAAATATTAATATATTTTAAAATAAAATAAATAACTTGCCAGGATTATGTGGGAAGGATTTTTTAATGTATTTTGAGATAAGCAAATGTTTCATAAATGGCAATGGAATATGGTAGGAACCATATTATCTGTCTGAATAAATGAAACCAATATTTTGTGGCTTATGTAAACTTATCAAATTGATACTCAGCGTGATGAGAAAACAAGTTTTTCCCTTTTCACTAATGTGAAAAAATTTGCAAGTGTACTGTTAAGTAGATATTATACATGTCTATTTCACTGGAAATGAGGGAAACCCTTCGTAGCTTTAACATGATTGGTTTTATTTGGATACGTACCTTTGCCTAAGCATTCAAGGCAGGAGTGCCCTATTCCTCTGTAAGGGAATATTATGATATTGAATTTTAATTGATGGATTCTAGGGTCCAAAAATCACAAGAAGCATATTCACTGGTTAGAATATAATCTAAGCTCTATAATTAAGTTTTATGTATCTAGTGTCTGTGTATCATGAATGGGTATATTATCTTGTCTAGAATAAAATTTCTTAGTTCTCCATTGCCGTGCATGGGAAAAGAATGGTTATGATATTGAAATGAATAACTGTAATAACATATTATCACTGTTTCAGATCTTTTGAATTATTGGATATTTGGACTAAGAATATATTTTTAAATTATTCAATATAAATTATTTTAAAATAATAGTATTTGTATATTTGAACTACAGTATTTGACAAATGTCTGATTCATTTCTTCATTTATTCATTCACCAAACATTTATTGAATGCGTAGTACATGTCAGGGATTATGCTAGACTGCTAAATGCTAGAAAAAGGGTATCATGTTGATTTTGATATGAGTTGATTTTGGTTAATTTTTATGTTTAGCTCCAAAGGGAGATTCAACTTCTATATCAAAATACATGACTGGACAAAAATGTTTGTCTTTGTCATGTAAGAAATTTCTGGTTGCAAATGAAAGAAACATTTGGAATTAAGAGAAATCATTACTTAGCTATTCCCTGCCCAGTAAGAATAGGATTGCCTTTCTTGATTAAATAGTTTGTGAAAAAGCCACCAGAAGAAACCCAATAATCAGAAAGCCACATATATAGGAAAGTCATGAACTATGCAGTTATTTTTCAACCTTCTTTCCTGATGGACAGTTTAAGCAATATTCAGCAAAAGCAACAAATGTTTGGATTTAATAGCTTTTAGTGCCTTCAGCACAAAGTTATTTAAGTCACTGTGTCTTGATAGTGCTCCAGTAGATACCTGTCTGTGATTTTTTAAAGTTTAAATCAGAAATATTTCATGTTTGGAATAAGTCTTGCGTTTTTTTAAAGTATATTGAGGTGAGTGTAATTTTTATACTGCTTTAAATAATTTTATAAATTTGGTTGGGTTCCATAAAATTGTTTATAAGTAAAAGTTCCATTATAATGACAGACAAATTAAATGTAAGTAAATACCTAAATGAGTGTTTTTGCTCTTATGTGGTTAAAAATGTAAGTTTAGTAGGGCAGTTTTCTCACACCCAGAGTGAAAGAATGTAACTGTTCAGAATAATCTATATGAAAGCTTTCCTCAAAGTTAGTTTTGGGGAGCTCTGTTAATTGGCTTCACCCACAAGATAAAGAATCTCAATAGATACACATTTGGGAAATTGGACAAAGGTGCACAGTTTATGCAGGACATCTTAGCATCTTAAGTTTATAATAATTCACTGTGAGCCTCTGAAATAGGTGTAAGTGTTCCACACTTATTTGTCAAGAACTTTTTGACAAATATCTCTTTAGTACTAATGCTCATAGTGTAATTAAGCTCATGTTCATAGCGTCGTATGCAGCATTTCCAAACTTACTGGTGAAGGACTTCTTGACGGACATCTCTCATGACTAGTGTACCTTGGGTCTGACTTTAGAAATTGCTTCCTTAACATGGCAGCCCCATGGGATCCTAAGTCTGCCAGGTGTTTCTTAAATTCTAGCATTACTGGATCAGCTCTGAGTATGTTTTGTGTAGTTTGTATCCTCTATGGTCATTCCAGAGTAAGTGAGTCCTCTAGGTGCCTTAAAACATAGAGCTGAAAAGATGACCAATTAATAATAATAATAATAATAATAATACTTTACAAGTAAAGATGTGTGTGTGTGTGTGTGTGTGTATATATATATATATATATATATCTGTTTTTCTGAAGTACTTTCATATTTTGGAGTCACTTGTTTCTTACGATAAAGTCGTGGTAAATTCAGTCTGTCATGTTTTATCTAAATTTTATGTGAGGAGGGAGACTAACTTAAGTTCAGAAACTTGTCAGGTTTTCACATCAGGTTTATATTTCAGTGCCCGTATCTAATCTATAAATATTGATTTTCTAAGATTATACAGTATGCTGTATTACCTAATAATTAGAATCTAGGTCAGGGATGAGCAAACTATGGCTCAGGGTTAAACAAACTATGGTGTATAGGCCAAATCTGGCTCATTACCTATTTTTTGATAAAGTTTTATTGCAACATAGCCATATATATATATATATATAGTAAGAGAGAGAGAGAGAGGGAGCTATATATTTATATATCTAGTTATTATTTTTTGAGACAGTGTCTCACTCTGTCACCCAGGCTGGAAATCACTGGCACGATCTCAGCTTATTGCATCCTCCACCTCTTGGGCTCAAGCAATCCTCCTGCCTCAGCCTCTTCAGTAGCTGAGATCAAAGATGTGCACCAGCACACCAGCTAATTTTTGTAGAGATGTGGTTTTACCATATTGCCCAGGCTGGTCTAGAACTTGGGGCTCAAGTGATCCTCCTGCCTTGGCCTCCCAAATTGCTGGAATTACAGGCATGAGCCAATGAGCTCAGCCTATATGTTTGTTTATGTATTATTTGTAACTGCTTTCCCATTGCAATAACAGAGTTGAGTAGCTGCAATAGAGGCTTTAAGGTCGGGAAATCCTAAAATATTTACTATCTGGCCCTTTGTAGAAAAGTTTGCCAACCCCTCATCTAGATCATGGTCTGAAGTAGAGACTCTTTGTAGATGTTAGAATGCTGTTTACATCAGTCTGAGTTTATAGTATGTAATGGTTAGCAGAAAACACTGAAGTAATTCCCAAAAAAAGAAACCTGCATTTGTACCATCAGTGTAAATGACACTCATCTGTTAATTTACATGCATTCCTATGCATTAATTACAGATTTTAGCACACACAGTGCTAGTTGAGTCTGCATCCTTCAAGCACAGGGTTAATTATTGCTGCTAGAGGCTTTAATCAAGTCCTTCTTATAGAAAACAAACAAATGATTAGCCTTTGCAGTACAGGCATAAACAGGAATTTGACTCATGAATTTCCTAATTATACTGCACCATTTTGGAAATCAATTGGCATTCAGATTCTTGCTGTTACTCAGTATACAATTTCCTTTTGCCAGATAGAAGTATAGGATAAGAAAATTGTTGGTAAATATGTTAAGATTTAAAAGTTTGGTTTCATTTAAGTTATTTTTATCCTGTTTTCTTATACAAAATGAATAAACGGAAGTAGGAAAGTATTTGGGTGTCTATTATTCATTAGCTATGTGTTACATAATATATGTGATTTTTACTAATTTGTCCTTAAAATAATCCTATGAAGTAGATTCTATTATCTCCATTTTAAAGATAGGGTGACTGAGGCTCACAATGTGGAAAGACCTTCCCAGTGTCACATTAGAGAGTAGTTTGTGTTGGAGACCCCGAGTTTCCTGCTTAGCTGTGAATTTCTTCACCAGGAGAGTTATACCCATTCTTTATAATTTGTGTAACCAGTGCCTAAAATGGATCAGCCCTTCTCAACTTTTTTTCCAAGATTTGCTTTTATTTTTGCACAACAATTGGCAAACTAAATACATAGTCCTGCTTTTATAGTACCAGATTATACTGCTTACTGTTTTAGCCAAGTGAAAAAACAATTCTAAAATAAGATCTACAAGTTCCTTTTTAATTCTGTCTAAACAAAAACAACCAAGCCCTGCATATTTTGAGTGCTGAAGCCAATTTTGATTTTATCAGAGATGCAAGATGGTTTTTCGTTTCTCCATTCCAATTCCTTCCATCATTTGTCAGAAATCGTATGCCAGGGTCTTCCAAAAATAATATTTGCTTCTTAAGTAAATGTTGTAAGGAGTTGCTTAGGATGAGGAAATACAATTATAGTAAATTATTTTCTCTCTCTACTGTTTTCTAACATGTCTGACTGTCTCTGCAACATATATTATTTTCAGAAAAAAGTTATTTCACATTACATTTTTCTTTACCTTTGTGTGGAAGACTGATCTGGGCTAGGTGATCATGAGCCTTCTTTTATTTTTACCAGAGCTACACAGAAGTCCTCACAAACAGGAATTCTTATTGGGATGATTGCTTCTCATCAAGATCTACAAGGCCTGTGGGATATTTCCCAGGGCACAGTTCTAGATGTGAACAGTTACATATAGAGAATTAGTCTTGCTTAGGGTGATAATTCATTCCTAAGTTTCATAGAACATTTCCATCATTATAGAAGGTGCTATTAGATAGCACTGGTCTAAAAAGAGAAATAGAAATGTTCTTAGAAAGTATGTCTTGTTGCCAGTGACACTTATTAGCAGCTTAACCACTCTGGACCATAGCTTTCTAATCTATAAAATGAAAATATGATTATATTAGGTTGGTGCAAAAGTAATTGCAGTTTTTGCCAGTAAAAGTAATTGCAAAAACCACCATTACTTTTGTACTAGCCTAACATGTGAAGTCCGCGTATTAGTTTATTTTTACACTGCTGTAAGGAGCTGCTTGAGACTTGGTAATTTATAAAGAAAAGAGGTTTAATTGACTTACAGTTCCTCATGGCTGGGAGGCCTCAGGAGACTTTCAATCATGGCAGAAGGTGCAGGGGAAGTAGGGCATGCCTTACATGATGGCAGAAGAGAGAGAGAGAGAGCACAAAGGAGAAGAGCCACATACTTATCAAACAACCAGATCTCCTAAGAATTCTATCACCAGAAGAGCAAGGGGGATGTCTGCTCCATGATTCAGTCACCACCCACAGGCCACTCCCCTAACTCCAACACATGGGGATTACAATTTGTGATAAGGTTTGGGTGGGACACAGAGCCAAACCATGTTATTCCATCCCTGGCGCCTACCAAATCTCATGTCTCTTTCACATTTCAAAACCAATCATGCCTTCCCAACAGTCCCCCAAGACCTTAACTCATTTCAGCATTAACTCAAAAGTCCAAGTCCAAAGTCTCATCTGAGACAAGGCAAGGTTCTTCCTCCTGTGAGCCTGTAAAATCAAAAACATGTTAGTTACTTTCAAGATACAATGGAAGTTTAGGCATTGGGTAAATGTTCCCTTTCCAAATGGGAGGAATTGGCCCAAACAAAGGGGCTACAGGCCCCATGAAAATCTAAAACCAAACAGGGCAGTTATTAAATCTTAAAGCTCCAAAATAATCTCCCCTGGCTTCATGTCTCATATCCAAGACATGCAGATGCAAGAGTGGGGCTCCCAAGGCCTTGGGCAGCTCTACCTCCATGGCTCTGTAGGGTATGGATCCTGTGGCTGCTTTCACAGGCTGGTGTTAAGTGCCTGCAGCCTTTCCAGGTTCATGGTGCAAGCTGTCGGTGGATCTACCATTCTGGGGTCTGGAGTAGCTGCCTTCTCACAACTCCACTAGGCAGTGCCTCAGTGGCAACTCTTTGTGGGGGCTCCAACCCCATATTTCCTCTCTGCATTGCCCTAGTAGAGGTTCTCCATGTGGGCTCCATTCCCACAGTAGATTTCTGCCTGGACATCCAGGTGTTTCCATACATCCTCTGAAATCTCTAGGCAGTGGCTCCAAAGCTCAACTCTTGTCTTCTATGCACCTGCAGGCCCAACACCATGTGGAAGCTGCCAAGGCTTGGGGCTTGCATCCTTTGAAGCCATGGCCTGTGCTGTGCCTTCTCCCCTTTTAGCCATGACTGGAACTGGAGTGACTGGGATGCAGGGTGCCATATCTCAAGGCATAACAGAGCAGCTGGGCCATGTGACTAGCCCATGCAACCATTTTTTCCCTCCCAGGCCTCAAGGCCTCTGATGGGAGGGGCTACCCAAAGATATACTAAATGTCCTGGAGATATTTTCCTTATTGTCTTGGCTATTAACATTTGACTTCTCTTTAGTTATGCAAATTTCTGCAGCTAGCTTTAATTTCTCCCCAGAAAATGAGTTTTTGTCTTCTACCACATGGTCCAGTTGCAAATTTTCAAAACTTTTATGCTCTGTTTCCCTTTTAAACATAAGTTCCAATATCAGGTAATCTGTTTGTGAACGTATGTGACTGTACACTTTCGGAAAAAGCCAGGTCACATATTGAATGCTTTGTTGCTTAGAAATTTCTTCTGCCAGACATGTTAAGTCATCTCTTTTAAATTCAAAGTTCCACAGATCTCTAGGGCAGGAGAAAAATGCCACCAGTCTCCTTTGCTAAAGCATAGCAAGAGTGACCTTTACTCCAGTTCCCAAGAGGTTCTTCATCTTCATCTGAGACCACCTCAGCCTGGACTTCATTGTTAATATCACTATCAGTATTTTGGTCAGGACCATTCAACAAGACTCTAGGAAGTTCCAAACTTTCCCATATCTTCCTGTCTTCTTCTGAGTCTTCCAAACTATTCCAATTTCTGCCCGTTACCCAGTTCCAAAGTTGCTTCTACATTTTCGGGTACCTTTATAGCAGTACCCCACTCCTGGTACCAATTTTCTGTATTAGTCTGTTTCACACTGCTATAAAGAACTACCCGAGACTCGGTAATTCATAAAGAGTTTAAATTGACTCAGAGTTCTACATGGCTGAGGAGGTCTCAAGAAACTTAAAATCATAGTGGAAAGTGAAGGGAAAGCAAGGCATATCTTGCATGATGGCAGAAGAGAGAGAGAGCAGGAAGGGGAAGAGCCATACACTTATCCAACAACCAGATCCCATAAGAATTCTATCATGAGAACAGCAAGGGGGAAGTTTGCACCTGTGATTCAATCACCTCCCATCAGGCCAATCTCCCAACACGTTAGGATTACAATTCTAGATGAGATTTGGGTGGAGAAACAGAGCCAAACCATAGCAATACATCTCTATCTCAGGCCGGCAAAACTTGTTTGTTGATTTTCTTTTTTGTAATTTGCAAATTCTGATATACATAGTTTCAGATGCCCTTTTGGGGACAGGGGTTATTGGTTAATTGGCTACTTTTGATTATTTTTCCCCTTGTATTTTAATACAGGAGTCTATTAGCAAAACAAAACAAAACCAAACCTTAGAATTCCAGTTTCTCATCTAAAATTAATGTGAAAAACAAAAAACAAAAACTTTAGCCAAGTTGTACTTACTATCCTTAAGTAAGGAGTATGCAACTTTCATCTTGTTTGTTATCTGAAGTCTGCTTCTTAAGTAGTTTAGTTATTGACACTATTTCTTTTGAAGTTGTATTCAAACTTGTGACCCAGAGAGCACAAGGTTATGTTGTGTCATACAATGTGGCCTTTGGTTTTCTTTTCTTTTCTTTTTTTTTTTTTTTTGAGATGGAGTCTTGCTCTGTCACCAGGTTGGAGTACAGTGGCACGATATTGGTTCACTGCAACCTCCACCTCCCGGGTTCAAGCAGTTCTCCTGCCTAAGCCTCCCATGTAGCTGGGACTGCAGGCATGCACCACCATGCCCAGCTAATTTTTGTATTTTTGGTAGAGATGGGGTTTCACCATGTTGGCCAGGATGGTCTCGATCTCTTAACCTCATGATCCTCCGCCTTGGCCTCCCAAAGTGCTGGGATTACAGATGTGAGCCACTACGCCTGCCCTGGTTTTCTTATCTTTTAAATAAGATAATATTAAATCTCTTAAACTGCACTCTAAGTTCATGGATTGAAAAACTTAAGTTTAGCCACAATTTCGGGAGCCATAAATAGAATTAAATAATAAATAGGAAATAATTCTATTTCGTAGGTCTGTTCTATTTAAAGTCAGGACTAGTATTATAATCCCTTCATAAGAAAGTCATTTAAAAATTTAATTGATGGCTTTATAATTCTAAATGCAATGGGTGGTTCTTAAAAATTTAATTGACAGCTATATAATTCTAAATGCAGTGGGTGGTTCTGTTGTTTCTGCATGTCTCAGTTAACTACTATATGGATGAATTTTCTAAATGTACATCCGCACTGGAATCAGAACATGTATGTCATGTTTACCAGATTAGTATCCCTGAAAACAGTATTTAAAATTGTATTTTTCTGTTGTGCATAATTGATGTGGTTATTTTGAATTGTTTTAATTAGAGGGAGCTTTATTTTAGTTTAGTATTTACGTGTTAGGTACCATGGTGACTAGTTTAAGTGAAACCTAAAATTAATTATTTGGACCAAAATCCTGAGAATGCCATCTTAAATACCTTGCTTATTCTTGAAGTTTATCAAGGCAAATTGTTAGAGAAAAGAAAAGTTGCTTGAGATCATCCTAAAATGTCAGTAATCTAATTGTGTTCAATATTTGCATCCTATCCAATAAAAATAGGTTTAAGTTTGACATATTTTATTATAAATAATAAATCATAAATCTATTAAAATTCTGAAAAATAAAGTTGATTTTTAGATTGTAAACAAAATTATTTAATTTACTAAAAATGTTTTCATTGTTAACTTACTAAATATATCATGAAACAATAGTTTGTATTCAGGAAACAATGCTAGTTTTCCAAAAAATATGATTTCTAAATGAAGCTTTGTAAGTCATTATTTTAATGGGGCTACCTACATTTAATTTTTTTTTTTTTTTTTTTTTTTTTTTGAGATGGAGTCTCGCTCTGTTGCCCAGGCTAGAGTGCAGTGGTGTGATCTCAGCTCACTGCAAGCTCTGCCTCCCAGGTTCATGCCATTCTCCTGCCTCAGCCTCCCAGGTAGCTGGGACTACAGGTGTCCACCACCACTCCCAGCTAATTTTTAGTATTTTTAGTAGAGACAGGGTTTCACCATGTTAACCAGGATGGTCTCGATCTCCTGACCTCGTGATCCTCCTGCCTTGGCCTCCCAAAGTGCAGGGATTATAGGCATGAGCCACCGCGCTCAGCCCCTACATTTAATTTTTTAAAAATCTACAATTATTTACTTCCTATAAATATACTGCTAAGCCTGTAGGGTACCTGTGACTAATTAAAAGTTTGCTAAAACTCCCTAATACAGAGGAATGAACATAGAATTTGGAGTCAGGCCTGATTTTACCATTGGGTCATTCATTCTTCATTTAATTCCTCATGTTTATTGACTTTTTGCTATGTGTCAGGCATTTTGCTAAAAATGAAATTTTAAGTTTCTTGAGACATCCTCAGCCATGCAGAACTGTGAGTCAATTTAAACTCTTTATGAATTACCCAGTCTTAGGTAGTTCTTTATAGCAGTGTGAAACAGACTAATACAGAAAATTGATATCAGGAGTGGGGTACTGCTATAAAGATACCCAAAAATGTGGAAGAAACTTTGGAACTGGGTAACGGGCAGAAATCGGAATAGTTTGGAGGGCTCAGAAGAAGACAGGAAGATATGGGAAAGTTTGGAACTTCCTAGAGTCTTGTTGAATGGTTCTGACAAAAATACTGATAGTGATATTGACAATGAAGTCAGGTGTGGCATAACAGCGTTTTAGTCAACAATGTACTCCATATATGATGATGGTTCCACAAGATTGTAATGGACCTGAAAAATGCCTAGTGACATAATAGCCATCGAGCACACATACCTTAATTTTCATTTTTTATAAATTTAGTGTAGCTTAAATGTACCATGTTTATAAAGTTTACAATAGTGTATAGTAATGTCCTAGGCTTTCACATTTACTCACTATCTACTGTCTGACTTGCCCAGAGTAACTTTCAGTCCTGCAAGCTCCATTCATGGTAAGTGCCCTGCACAGGTGTACCATTAAAAAAAAAATCATATTTTTACTTTACCTTTCCTATGTTTAAATGCACAAATACCTACCTTGTATGACAGTTGTCTACAGCATTTAGTACAGTAACATGCTACATGGGTTGATAGCCTAGAAGCAATAAGCTATACCAGATAGCCTAGGTGTGTAGTAGGCCATACCATCCAGGTTTGTTCAAGTACACCCTATTATGCTTGCACAAGGATGAAATCACCTAACAATGCATTTCTTGAAACGTATCCCCATTTCTGAGGCATGCATGACTTTATTAGCACCCAATTGGATCTTTAATAGTTAATTTTCTCTCAACTAATCATGGCCATGTCTTTATAATAATTGAATGAGATTACACAAGTGGAAATAATTTTTGAGTTTAAGAGACAGTTGTATTCTGCATCATCATCATTGTCATCATCTTCATCATCATCATCATCTACTTCATAAACAACAATCGATGGAGAAAGTTTGGAAATGCCTAACTAATAAATCTGGGACTGCCTGAAATTTGGATGGCAACTAATACTAAACTCCTTCAGTTTATTTTGCCCCAAATGACATGTCCAGTTGATTGAGTTCCTTACATCTGGTGTGAGAATACAACTTAAGAAAGCTCACTGCGGCAAGTAAATCCTGCCAACTAAAAGAAACATACTCATTCCCATGCTACTGATAGTTTCATAGAAGCCAAGCAGGAAATTGAGGTAGGAAACTAATTATTCTTTATAACACATATTTATTAAGCAAATTCTACATATACATACTGTGCTAGAAGCTGAACAAAAGAAGGGGAATGGAAAAGGCATTGCTCTTAAGCAGCCTGTGATTTGTATAAGGAAGCATTAATTATAATAATATAATGGCTAACATCATTAAATACGTATTAGCCATAAATAAGATGCTTTATAATCTGGCATTATTGAATAAGGGGTCTTACATTCTTTTGCTGTGTGCCAGGCTCTGTGGAGCAAGTTAAATATTTAGCATTGAGAAACATTTTTAAATATTAGAAAAAGTATATTAGATTTATCTTATTTGTGATAACAGACCCTAGAAGTCTCGTAACGAGAGGCACCTTGCTCTCTCCAATTTCTTCTTCAAGATGAATAGATAAAACATTGAAGTATTGGTAAGAAATGCCTAGATTCTCCAATGATTCGTAGTTTCTTAGTGTATTTTTTGTTCCTGACAATTTATTCATTTTTTAAAAATTATCACACTACCCACGTTTTCATACATGTTTACAAACTTTCAAGTGATTGATTTAATTCTCATAGTCTATTATTAGGCCTATTTAAAGTTATCAAGTCTATTTTCTCAATCTCAGTCCAGAATAGTTTTCATATTGCTCTGAGCCATATTAATTAAAAAAACGATGACACTTTCTATTCAGTATTTCAGAAAGCAGTGACTTTTCTACTCTCTTTCCACTGTGCTTTCCCCATGTGTTAAGTATTATTTTCAATATTACACATTTTGAGCATAGTTTACTTTAGATAGCTGCAAGATATACATTGTCTAAGCTACTAGGTACTGCCACAAGCTACATTTACTAGCAGCTATTAGCCATTTCACATACTTACTGTACATGTTGCACAACTAGTTTTTTTCTTAGTTATTGCAATACTGTCAGAAATGTATTAAGGTTTTCTGTCATTTATTATTTTATGTAAAAGTGTGTTTTCTCTAGTAGTACAAGATATAAGATAGTACTGAGTCAGGATGCTGATTCTGGCTTTCCAACACATATTTTCTTCATTATAAATATTAATAAGCATCTCATTATGTTGTGTAATCTCTTTCAAGTTGTTCTAATACCAGGGTTGGGCTAAAATGTCAGATGACCAGTCGGCCGGTTAGCTCAGTTGGTTAGAGCATGGTGCTGATAAAATATCAGATGACCTCAGTATCTTTTGGAAATCATCTTTCCTTCTCAATACTTAGTTTATTTTCCAAACAACAGCTCATATGCTTGGGACATATGGATTAAATGTTAGATTAAATGTTATTCATTAGGAAATTGAGGTATAAATGCATTGCCTTATTTCATTCACTATGTATCAATAGAGATTTGATGTCACTAATCTAACATAAAAAGGTCAGTTTTCTATAATCATTAAAGATATTTAATCTTTGGAGCAGGCCAGCATTCTTTCAACACTGAAAATAGACTTGGAAAATACTTTAAATACTAAAATAGACTTGGCAAAGTCTATTATAAATTTTTATTATACATCTTACTCATTCTTGACATGAAACTTTTTATTTCATCATTTCATCCCATAGATAATTTTGCCACTTTTTTTTTTCTTTTGCTTTTCTACCATTCCATATTCGGGTTACTTTTTTGTTTTTGAGACAGTCTTGCCCTGTTACCTAGGCTGGAGTGCAGTGGTGTGATCTCTGCTCACTGCAACCTCCGCCTCCCAGATTCAAGTGATTATCCGGCCTCAGCCTCCTGAGTAGCTGGAATTACAGGTGCCTGCCACCATGCCTGGCTAATTTTTGTATTTTTAAGAGACATGCAATTTCACCAGACTGGTGTTGGAACTGCTGACCTCAAGTGATCTGCCTGCCTTGGCCTCCCGAAGTGCTGAGATTATAATAGGCCTGAGCCACTGCGCCCAGCCTAAGGATTATTTTTCTATTCTCCCTACTCAGTTTTTATTTGCCTTCTCATTGGTTCATTTATTTCTATGTAGTAGTTCCTTAATAGGATCTTGGACTTTTCTAGAATTAACTAGAGGTGTGAACTGCTCCATTTATCCAATTGCCTTATCTCTGCTGTATTTAAGTCTTACAGAAATGTTGACTATTTTATTTGCTCATTTGGTTTATTTTTCTATGGTGTAATATTCAAAAAGAGGCCCATGTTATAGGAAGGAAAGTCTTTGACCTATAAGAGAATACATTATATAAGATAGTAGGATGAAAGGCGCTTTTTAAATTAATTTTAAAACTACTCTGTTAAAAGCTTATTAAACTCTTACATTGAAAAATGGTCATAGACTTAAAGACAGTAATGATAAATGATCTAATTGGGCATACTGCGAGAATGAGGGGCTTAAGAGTAAGACGATATTAGATTACTAGTTTAGTTTACTTAAAAATCAAAATAGGTTCAGCGTTTTCTCATCTATGAGGTCTAAAGGAAAAGACTTATGATGAAAAGAGTAATAATTGTCCAGAGTTTGAATTATTCAAACACATTTTTAAATGAATACAATAAAATTTTTATCAGGTTTATTTCCTAATTGTTATTATTTTAAGGTTAAGTGGAAATATTACAAAGTTCTCCATATTGCACAAATGTAATAACCCTGCTCTAAATAGATGTTTGCTTTTAAAACCATCATGCATTTTAATTATTTCCTTTTTTGAATAAAGAACAAATAATATGTACATTATATGAATAGCTTGATATTAAAAGATATTGTCAGAGAAGCTGTAGTTAATACCGCTCAATAGAACTTATTGTAATGACTGAAAGCTTCACAATTTGTGCTGTCCAGCCTGGTAGCCAGTGGCTACATGTGGCTATTGAGCATGTGGAACATGGCTAAGGAACTGAAATTTTAATTTTACTTAGAAATATGCCATATGTCTCTGTGGTTACATATTCAATCATGCAGTTAGAAAACACTCTGTTTTTCTAATACGTACAAACAAAATTGAAATAACAGATACAAAGAGGAAAAGAGAAGTTTATAATTTATTTAATGCCTATTATTAGTAAGGTAAAATGTTTATAGGAAAAGTGGTCATGTAGTAGTTGTGTTATTATTGATGATCTTATCAAATTATTTATTATAAATGTTTTTCTTCTATTCACGTTAACTTTTGTAGAAAAAATATTTTTATTGAGAAAAATATCACAGTTTGGATTTGTTTATGAAATGAAATACCAATTGGGTGTGTATATGTATACACATATGTGTTAGAGAGATACACACATGCTGGTACTGATGTTTAGGGAGGAGCTTTTGAAGTAATGGTATCATTGTATTGCCACACATTTTAAAGCAACATATAATGAGGTGTGGCTTGATGAGATTATTTTTAAAATTAAATTTTCTTGAAATTGTTTTGGTAGAAATGCAGACTTGCCGGTAGTCATAGAAAGCAGTTTAAACAAATTTGAAGAAGTAATTAAGTATACCGTCTTCTTATTATACATTTTTAAAAAGTAAAGTGAACTTCTCTGAATTATGGAATTAATATTTTAAGAAGCTATATTAGGGTTACAAAAGGAAATTTCTCTTTCTGTTCAGCATGTTTTCTTAAGTAGTGAATGCCCATTTCAGGAAAACATTAAAAAGGAATCATTAGGGTACCTAGAAATTTGTATTTGTGTTGATTTGATTTTATGGATCAGTAAATCAACAGATATAAAATGGATTAATCAAGATCATGGCTCTCTCTTCCACATGACCAATATTCATATGGGTTTAGTTTAGTCACTAGACATTAACTCAAATAACTACATATATAATATCTTCAAAAGTATAGAATTGGTTGTACCTATGAACAAACTATTTTCCTATAACTCTGTAACACAAAACACTTTTTTTCCAAAAGAGAATTGCAGTTTGTATAGTATTTAGTTTTTCTTCCTGCAAAAGAATTATAATTTGCTGCTCAGTTCCCAGGAGATTTACTACACAGCGAGTATGTAAGGGGAATGAAAGTAATATTTTTTACCAAATTTGCATTTTATAACTCAAATGAAAGAGCAAATATATTTTATGTGGCAAATTCATAATATATTGTCTCACCTACCAAAATATTTGGCTTTGAACAAAAGTGTCATTTTGTTTCAGATGTTTTAAAAGGAAGGCACAATTTATGTGATGGGTATGAAACGAGTGCTTTTCTTTAAATTTTAAAGACAGCAAGAAATTTATGGAATAATTCTTTCTTTGATTTCTAGTGGTTAGAATGCCCATGGGTAAACACATTTATAAACCTGGACCTAATTTTGCTCTTAAAGTAGGACAAAATATTTTCTAAATGCGTGTTTTTTTGTTTTGTTTTGTTTTGTTTTTTCTTGAGGAAGCAATTTATTGTAACAATCTAGAGAAGAGGACTGGGAGCCTTTTTTTTTCTTTAATAAAGGAAATTAAGCAGTATTAAAGTTTCTTAGACTTTATAGAATCAACAAATAAATGCAATTAAGAAAATAGTATTTTTCTCTGAGGTTTTTCT
The DNA here is from genome assembly GCF_000001405.40 of Homo sapiens. Taxonomy (NCBI): domain Eukaryota; kingdom Metazoa; phylum Chordata; class Mammalia; order Primates; family Hominidae; genus Homo; species Homo sapiens. Next base: position 50,932,874 of record NC_000002.12, on the reverse strand, counting down.
GCCTTCTTGCAGCAGGATCTATGAAATCATTCAGTCTTCTCACAGTCTTCTTACTCATTTATTCTATTGCTGTTAAGAAAAAAAAGTGATACCAGTAGTTATATTTTGTGTGTGTGTTTTTCTAGCACATTATTTTTTTAAATTATTTCAATAGATTTTTGGGAACAGGTTGTGTTTGGTTGCATGGATAAGTTCTTTAGTGGCGATTTCTGAGACGTTGGTGCACCCATCACCCGAGCAGTGTACACTGTACCTAATGTGTATCTTGTATCCCTTACTCCTCTCCTGCCCTTTCCCTTGAGTCCCCAGAGTCTATTATGTTTGCCTTTGTGTCCTCATAGCTTAGTTCCCACTTGTAAGTGGGAACATATGATATTAACATTGATGTCAATGGCCTAAATGCTCCACTTAAAAGATACAGAATGGCAAAATGGGTAACAATCTACCAACCAAGTATTTGCTGTCTTCAAGAGATTGACCTAATACATAGGGACTCACATAAACTTAATGTAAAGAGGTGGAAAAAGATATTCCATGTAAATGGAAACCAAAAGTGAGCAGGAAGGAAGGATGATTCTCCTTCCTCAGCCTCCTGAGTAGCTGGGATTACAGGCATGTGCCACCATGCCCAGCCAATTTTTGTCTTTGTAGTAGAGATGGGGTTTTACCATGTTAGCCAGGCTAGTCTCGAACTCCTGACACCAAGTGATCCACTTTCCTCAGCCTCCCAAAGTACTGGGATTACAGGTGTGAACCACCGTGCTCAGCCTGATTATAAGTAATATTTTTTGGCCAGGCACCTGGCCAACATGGTGAAATCCTGTGTCTACTAAAAAAATGCAAAAATTAGCAGAGCATGGTGGTGGGTGCCTGTAATCCCAGCTACGTGGGAGGCTGAGGCAGGAGAATTGCTTGAACCCAGGAGACAGAGGCTGCAGTGAGCCAACACGGTGACACTGCACTCCAGTCTTGGCAACAGAGTGAGACTCCATCTCCAGAAAAAAAAAATAATATTTTAATCAATCCCGAGAGCCTCCTGGAAAATTTCAATGTATGATCTAATTTATTTAGCTAAGAATGGCCTATTCCTTTTAAAATAATTTTCAGTGATTTTCATAAAACTTTGAAATTAATTTAGTCATAAACTGACACATGTAAATACAGTGAATTTTTAACACCATATAAAATGAAAAACTAAGAGCTCTGAAGAAATGAAAAATCAAATCCTTTTAATATGCTGTGCATTTTTCCTTCCAAGGAATAGCTTCCTTCCAAGCTGTTTGTTACATATGTGAGGGTCCTATTGAAGTGAAGATAACAATATAAAATATTTTTAATTTGATATAAAATTTCATTTTTTCTTTGATATAAAAAGAATGTATAATTGTCAGGTCGGTCATATCATATAAATAATTTTATTTTCTGTACACTGCATGTAAATGTAATTTTTAAGCATCAAACTTAAGACTCCTTTTTACAATGTGGTTTAGTCATATTTTTAATTTCATCACAAAGTATTTTTGCCTTTTCTTAGATAAATTAAATAGATTTGTTTTGGACATGTCTAAGAACCCAGGTATAGAATAATAAAGTTAAGAGTATTTTAATATTTAGTTGAAAAACATCTGTAGTAAGATGAAAAAAAATGGTGAAAAAAATTTATATACCAGTAGACATTTGACAGCTCTTTCAAATGAAGACCATTAGTCTTATTAGTGGGAGTTCACCTACTTTTCATCTTAATGATAGCAAACCTAGAACACATTGCAGAATATTCTCTGATGGTAATACACAGGCCAAAGGATGTCTCCTGTCCATCTGTTAACAAAGAAGTCAAAACCACATAACCACTAGAAGGGTTGGTAAGTTGGGAAAGTAGGTAGGGTGTATTTAAGTTCACTCTCTTAACCTCAGTCCAAGAGCTTTCTTGCTCTGTATCCTAAAATATGATGACGTCAAACTCTTAGAAAGGAAAGCACTGCTCACCTGAGCCACCTTTCTTAGGAGAGTTGTTTAACAGTGATTAAGCTTGGTTGGGAGGGTATGTGATAAGCACTCTGCTCAGTGTTGTCTGTCAATTCCGTATCAGGAAGCATTCATTTCTCAGCAATAAAAAATAAAAATAGGTGGTGTGAGCACACATACTGTAGACTGTGCTTGTCACCATGTTTACAGTCACTGTTAAATTCAGTGTTCCTTCCTAAGTCCAACTATTGAAATGAATGTTGAAATGTTAACTCTCAAGATTTAGACTTGGGGAAGAACTGAGATTATCAAAGCAAAACAAATTTGAAAATCCTTGTAGTAGTTCCTCATGAAAATTTGAAATTGAATTCATTATAGCTTATGTGAGTCATTCGATTTATATTATAATATGTTGACTAACAGTTATTAAATTTCATCAGGTTCATCAAATAGCTTAATCACTATAAATCGCAATAACTTTAGGCTTTCTTGCTTTTCCTTCCTCCTGCCCCCTTTCTCTTTTTCTCTTCTTTCTTTTAATTGTCATTAACAAGATAGAACATTTTGAATTAAATACCACAAATGTCTTTGTAACAAAATATTTTGGGGGGAAATTGTTTTAAGTGTTTCTAGTGTGATGCCAGGAACATCTGTGTTGCTGCATCCGGTTTAGAGATACATTTTTTATTCCCGAGCAGTGAAGAAGGAGAAAAACTGGTTGTTGTAGTTGACTCCATATATTTCCTAGGATGAGTACTCCAAGCAGGCTGGGTGGGAGTGTCCTGCAATATTATTTAGCTGGGATTGAAAAAGGAGGTGATGTCCTCTGTTAAAAAGCATGTTTGAAATTAGCCCAATTCCTGTCCAGGACCATTTCTTTCCTTCCCTAAGTCTCCATAATGGACCTTTATGCTTCATTTTCTCTTTGAACATCGTCTTGGTTCTGGGCCGCATTTCTATTCCTTCAGCTGACTGCTGCTTTAATCCACAGTCTCAATGATTTCCTCCATTTCCCAGTGCTTGAAGCATTCCCAGACTATTGAGGTTTTTTAAAGGCTTTCACTGCTAATACCAAAAGAAAAAACAAAGCTCCATCCTGTGCCACCATGGGAACTAAGCTCTGCTGTACTGGCATTTGATCTCCAAAATGAGGAGTACAGGCTTGAGAAGTAATGTGATGGGCGAGAGAGACGTGGATAGAAGTTAGCACACTCCCTGTATGGAGGAAGGAAATAGAATCTTATTCTTCATCTGTCTTTCCACTGCCTGTTACCACCACCAGTTTTGCTGTAATATGCCATACCTTGGAGTGCTGGTATCTGGGACAGAAGCTACTCGCAGTAGTGGCAGTTTTGATGGAGGAGAGAGGGAATCAAGGAAAATGAGGGGAGCCAGTCACAGGCATCTAGCAGAGAAGGAAGGAAACCAAAAATTAAAGAAGTAAAGGAATGCCCAAGTGATATCAGGAAGCTTCTTTTGGTCATTTTTTAATGTAAGTTGTAGCACTAAATGGACCACTGTCTGTACATTTAGAGAAAGACTTACATATTGCCAAACTTTAGCACTGATTATACAGAAAGGAGATTTTTGTGATATTTTATTCCAAATTTTAATTTTTTACTGGTCATGATTTTCTTTATATTGAAACAAGCACATTTGTTTTTGTATTCATTTGTTTTCCTAGAACCGTATACTTAAGAGTATGTGCAAAGAACACTGGAATGATAAACTAAAGTTACTGTCCTTGCATTCTTATAAGCTGGGGGCCGAAGATAAAAATTTTGTGAAGATGCTCTTTTACAGTGATTTTAAAACAGGCTGTTGCTTGCCTTCTTGTCAGCACACAGCCATTATTCATAGCATGATTGATATTCTGGTGCCTAATTCCCATCTTTGTGAGAGAAGCCCATCCTATCTGAAAGAAAAATAAAATGTAAAGTATCTTTTTCACAGCTCTATATTCATTATTTTTCCAATGAAAAGAAAGCAAGAGTGTGATCTTTATAGGTGGCGTGGTCATCGTAGTAAAGTTAATGATTAAGAGACGCACTTCATTTACTCAGCAAGGATTAGGTCAGCAGAATTAAGAAGCCAGGGTTTTCTGCAAACCAAGAGATTTTCCCTAACTTGACAGTGTCCACAGGTAAGGCCGGATGGACTGCTTTCTACCTTACACTAAACCAAAATATGCTGCTTTACCTGTACACCGTGGCATGCCAAAATTCAGCACCTGTCTTTGTTGCTGCTCAAAAGCAAAGTAGCATTTGTGTGTATAAGAATTTACAAAGATAAAGAAAAAATTGTTATGAGGAGATAAACTATTCTTTTTTGACTCGACATTTATTATTTAGTACAGAAATAAAATGGAAAGGAAAGAGAAGGGAAAAAAATACCTGGAGAATGGTTGTAAATGCTGGAGCTACCACCAGTTATAATCACGTCCAAATTCTGAAATAATGTAGGGATTTTCTTTAGGTTAACAAGTTTTAAATTATGTAAAGTTAGCAAATGGATACCAGAATAGAATAGAATGGAAGAGGAAAGAGGATTTTTATTCTGAGATTGAATCTGAAAGTATATGGAAACTCAAGGAAAGTCTGCTCCAAGCCAGTTGTCTTCATCATCATCACCATCTTTTTTTTAAACAGTGGTTAATATATCACCCATTTATTCTAGTACTTTGATTTTTTTTTTCTAAATCTAAATTTTCTGAGACAGACCACTTTTCTGGATTTAGTCGAGTCAGAATTTGTTTACACATTAAACATGACTTGGATCGTTTAAAGGAATTCCCATTATTAAGCTTGTTCTCATTATGAATAAGAATTCAGAAAAAAATGCTAGATGGTAGAGTAGGATCCATGGCAAAACCTAGGCTTGTATCTATGGTCATGAAAGGAGAACTTGCCGTCAGGACTGAATCAGTGACCTTGAACTCCTTTTATAATGCCCTACTTAGTGCATTCCTAAAGTTGGTGTCAGGCCTGGGCCTGTTTCATTTTGTTGGTTTGCTTTTCTTTCCTTTTTTTTTAATTGTAGTTTTAGGCCACACTTTACCAAAATTTCTACCGAAGCACTGCTCCTCACAACCATATTTGCCCGTCTTTACAGAAATTAAATAATGCTGTAGCAATTGACATACTGTCTTGGCACATGACTCTCCTCTAAATTCCCTGATTTTATTATTTTACAATACATATTAAATAATCTTGTTAAGTAAGCATCTTAAACAGAAGATACAATTTCAAAGTTAATATACAGGAAAAGTATATCTTAAACATTACAATAATTTATATCTTTGTATTATGTCCAATATAATGCAGTAAAACAAAACTTTAATATTTGTGTTTGTGTAACATCAAAGTCACCACTGAAAAGTAACAAATTCAGCCTAATTCCTTGTTTAATAAATTGGCAGTCCAAAAAACAAACAAAAACAAACTAGAAGTCAATATCACAGACCAAATATTTGAAAGTTTTTTTTGTTGTTTCTTTAAAAATAAACTCTGGAAAACCAAGTATTGTGTAAAGATGTTATTACCCACATTTAGCCACCAGCCATTTTCTATTACATGCTAACACCACATCAGTAGATGTGCCTGTGTTGATACTTCAATTTTCAGCTGAAATGTTTTAAACAAAATTGTTGATTTTTAATTCACTAGTAACTTTATCCAATTAAGAAGGTTTTAGGTGAACCTAATCAAATGGTACATTCTTAGTTGTTTTTGCTTTCAAGTTTCTATACTTGCATGTTGCCATGTTTATAAACACCTCTGATCAGATGATGAGTTTATAAAGTACAATTAATTAAACAAAAAATAAGGATGAGACTAGAATGTCAACATGGGTAGAGTTTACTATTAGAACATTTTTGATAACTACTGAAACCTTGCTCTTGCCCTAGTCCCCTAAGACAGCTTTCCCTTCCATTTCTTGCCGGGATTGCAGGCCCCGAGTCTCAAATAGAACTTGAATTTTCCACTAGGTACTAATAATACTTTAAACCTTATATATTTATATTGATTATCTTGGGAAATACAAATCTGCTTGGATATATATGTTTATACATATATACATAGGTACACACATGGAAATATGACTAACAAAATATATGAAAACATGTAGGTATTTTATAGATATATAGAAATATAAGAGAAATTGAGCTAAATATTTTCATTGTCTCAAACAAATTCATATTCACATCCTCAACAGAAGTACAAAGTTTTTAAATCACGACAAACCAAATTGCCTTATGGACAGTTCCCAGTGGACTTCTCTTCCAGTGATCACTTTCCTACCTAACATTTTTAAAAGTTAGCATTTTTATAAATTCCAATAAACTATTCTCATTTGCAATACAATATTAATATGCTATAAATTAACCAAATAAATTGCAGATTTTAGTTCCATATAGTTACGTTGTTTTTCTTTAAGGAAAGCAATTGAGGTATTAGAAATACTAAAAGGCAGTAATGGCATATGGATAATATATTTGGTAGAACTGGAATATCTTTAAGTGAAATTTCATAGCTCTTTCCAATAGACTTCTTAAAATCTAAGGCCAAATCAGTATGTGGAAATAGAACCTTTTAGAATTGTTAAAAAGAAAACAAAAAAGCTTTTAAAAATAATTGCCTAGAAAGACCACACCAGCAACATGTAATAACAATAATGTTTGCTTTATACTGGGTAGTTGAAAGATTTTTTTAAAAACTCTTTGCACAGGGCATGGCAGTATTATGAAAGTTTGTCTCACTTCCTATCAATGCTGCCAATGGGAGGGAACCTGCTTCCCTGTGATTTTGTTTTCCCCCTTGAATGATAGTGATGGAGCACTTGCATGATGTGTTTGGTGCCTTGCATGAGGAAGACATGCAAAGGCAAGGTCCAGTCTGCATGCTGCTTAATGAATGTTTTTCCTTTTCTCTCCCTCCTTGTCATGTGCTTTCAGAAGACAACAATGTGGAAGGTGGGTGCTTTCTACCTTATTTTTCCAACTCTCATTTGTCCTTTATTTCTTAGTACTAATAGGGTACATCTTGAAGTTAGATGGTAAGTTGAACTTCTTTCTGAACATTTGTTGGTTTCTGGATTGTGTATCACTTTTCATACAGAACACATACATTCTCAACCCTGCCATCCCAAGTATATGAAACTTTTTCAAGCTTAACTCCAACCCTTGTTAGACCTCAGCATCCCATATGAAGCTTAGAATAGTTATTACAGTGTTCTGTATGAGAAAAATGATAACAATTCTGCTTTTTTTACTTTAAAAGACAAAATATTTCTTTGTAGTTTCATAAGACAGTGCATGATCCTTTTTCCATTTTTTATCAAAATGACTTATTCTATTCTGGCAAAATTTAGCATTATCTCATTTCAAGCCCATTGGTTTGTTTAAAATGATTGGATGTATAAAAAGAATGCAATAAAGTACTGAGTATAAGTAAGAGACATAAATTTAGATTAAAAAATAAGCCATTGGCCAGTGGACATGAAAGCATACAGCATTTCGATATGATTCCTGGTAAGTATATTTGTAATATTTTTTGCCTGCTAAATATTTTATTCAGTCTTTTATAAAAAATTATCTCTGTCAAGGAATTTTGAAGAAGTTATATAGCTTATATATTTTCCTGTAGAATCCAGCAAATTAAAACATATTTCCTTATTCTCATTTTTTAAGAACTTAAATGCATTAGTCAGTGTGCTACAAACAAATCTTCAAAGTGTTAACATGCAAAAAGAACAAGGCATAACAAAAGAATGGTGAAAGGGAAGGTTTTATCAAATTATATATGTTCTATCAACTTATATATTCACAGCATTAACAGTTCCTACATAAAGATTTACTAATTTACTAATATTTGTATATGGGAAGACAGCATTTAGTATATTTTATTTTACTACCATATTTTGAAATATAGTCATTCTGTAAATGTACATTTCCATAGAATGAAGGATTTCTTAGAAAAAGACTCCCTATCCCAGGTTACAGATAAATAGCCATTAAGGTTACCAAGACTTCATGTATCTAAGAAAGAACACTTCATGATAATACAGAGTTGACCAGTAGCAGGGGTAAACATTATATTTGTGATTCGTACATGGATAATATTATAATTGCTTAGCTGCTGAACATTTCTGTTTTGTTATTTAAATAAAATAGATTAAAACTTTAAAAGAAATCATAAATTACTATTTTCTAAGTGTTGTATCCATATATGGCTTCTGTTTTTGTATACTATAATTTTAATTGCATGTGAGTATATACTTGATAAAAATGATATATTACCCTGCAGGCCTAATATCTTTTGAAGTCAGTCTCATTTATATTGTGCATGTCAACTGAGTTTAAAAGTTATTTTTTAGAGGTATCTTTTCAACTTCTTTTGCATTTCCTTATCCATCCTGTGAAATGCTTTTCTTTTCTCTTAAAATCCTATTGCATCCCAAGAGGCTTTAAAATCAGCCTAATTAGCATGAATGCTTCTCTCTTTTCACACACACTCATCCCATGGTAAGATTTATTTTTAGAATATAGGCCCATAAGCTATTGTAATAAAGTCTGTTCAATCATAATTTTAATATTTCTATCTATAATATGACCTTTACAGTATAGGTAGAAAGTCTAGCAGGAAGAATGTGAATTCTTTGGGGATTAGTGAATTTCCATCCTTATTGATGTAGCATCAAAACCGTTGGAAGTACCTAATATATTTTCTAAAAGGTAGATCTTCAAGACAATTTCCTCATTTAGTCCATAAAACTTATAAAATGTTACTTGGAAATATCTGTAGTAGTTTTAAAAGTGAAATTAAATGAAAAAATATGTAACCTGGACAAATAAGCCACTATCAGCATATAAAACACTATGAATTATCAATAGATCATAAGCTGTTGAATCTGCCTGTGTGAACTTTTTGTTAAAATCACTCAGAAAATACAGAGAGGCTACAGTTCAGAGGCATCACACTACTGTGTTTAATAACTTTCATGTTATATTGTGATTAGATGATTATTTGTAATTATATCTAGCCTACAGAGATGTTTGAATACCCCTAAAATTTTAAGAAAACAACACAGATAATTTAAATACTGATGAAACCAATGTGTAATGTTATATAGCTCAAATAAAGTTTCAAATATATCTGAAATAGCACTGGAAATTGAAAATACAAGTTTATTAAAACTGATAAATGTGTATTTCTCTAACATTTTCCCGTATTGTAGACATATACATGGATAGAGAAATAGCTTTATTTCTGAATTTAAAATAAAAAGCTAGGAATTATGCCTTTCAGTAAAAAGTAACTTCTTGAATAGCAAAAGAATTTTTGAAAGCATGTTAGTAGTATTATTTAGAAGAGAAGTGCTCTTCAGTTTGAAGTGAATTGTCAAGCAGGAAATAATAAATAAATTAAATAAAGGAATTTCAATGTCCTTTAAAGAATTCCTTGATGAAATTACATCTGTAATATGTATCTTTACACTAACTTAGAGTTCAGCATTTAAGAAATATTTAGGTGAAATCTCAAATAATTTTGTTCTCTGAGGAAAATTGCTTTAGTGTATTTGCAGCTGACCCATTGTTTCTTAAAAACCCTTTTTTGTAGTAAATTCTAGCTTTACAACTGCATGTCTAATGATCATTTTGTATTTGAACAAGCCTAGTCAGCCGCTACATGTGTCAGACAAGGAGACATTTCTGCATTATCATTTCAATGTGACTACAATTTTTTTTTCTTCATTTAATTATAAAATGCTCATTTTTTGATGAGGGGAAAAAGATCAGACCCAGCCCATGTTTCATGTATTCCATTGGGTTTTAAAAAAATGTAATTTCATCACTGAAGAATTACAAGCCCTGTGGGGGCAATATGCAAAACAGTCTCATTAAAGGGCACAGAGGGCAGATGTAATATTGAGGGGTTTGGTTGGATTTTAAGTCATGCTCTTGTGCTCTTGGTTGTTCCAACTGATGCATGGAAGAAATACACAGTGCAGCATATGCCAGTGTTTAAAACGCAGTTCTAGAACACTTTGCCCCAAAGCATTCCAACCAGGGGTTGAAAGAATGCTTTTTGATTTGCCTCTGTGATACAGACATGTCTCATAGGAAAAGAGATGTCTGTCACTGAACATTTTTGTCACCGTGACAACCCTGCCTTCCCATGCTCCCTTGTTTATTGCTGACTGTGCTCTTGTTTCCCTTCAAGGTCTGGCGCACCTGATGATGGGCGACCAAGGTATGGGCTCTGTTCCTTTTCCACTCTGCTTTCAGTGTTTTCTTGTTCTGTAGCTGCTTTCAAACCATCACTGCAAAGGATGGGCAAATGCTTGCAAATTATATGGCTGCAAATTAAATACATATCTTTTGTTCACATTTTTTCATGTGTTTTTCTTCCATTTCTTTGTTCGTTTGATTTTGGTTTGTTCCTGTGGCTTTTATTTTCCTTCATTTCTTGCATTATAATATTTGCAAATAAATGAGACATAAGAAATTGTGATTGAAAGTTTCTATATACTTATCAGCATATGCAGTAAAGGGTGGTTATGGTAAAGAAAAACCGAGAACCATCAGAAGTTGCTGTCTGAAAGAAGATCCTCAGTTTAAACCACTGTATCCAAAAAATAAGTCCATTTTTCATCCATGCATGACAGTTTGGGAACATGCAGACATCTTTGGCTTCTGGCTTGTAGAATGCTGAGTATAGTGTTCCACAGAATCAATACTTTCTCTACGTAGATTTATTGTATGTCTCTCTTTTGTGTGATCTTTTAAAACTGAGCATGGGCCTTTCAGTTTTTTGCATGTACTTGCCTTCAAAAAAGGCAGAATTCCCAACATGTCCTGATTGCATCTCCATTTGTCTTCAAAACCTTGTTTATACTTTCATGTCTTGTTTAATTTTCAGAGAGTAGTGGCTTTACATATGTTCATAATACTTATTGTTGTTTTTCTCCTCTTTATCCTCTTTGTCTGGAAACCCTTTCTTCATGGACCCATTTCATCAAATCCATAGGTAAAAGTAAAGGTATTACATTATTTTATTTCTTCTTAATATCATCTGTATGAATTACAGTGTGTCTGAGTTACATAAATGTATTTAGACCTTTTGGCATTGGTAATGGGCACTGGGAGGTAGGTATATGTGTTAATAAATATTTTATAAATTTAAGATAAGAAAAATCCATCAATATGTTTCCATTTTCGCCCCCACCCTTTTTTTTCTCTTTAGAGTGATCTTTTTCATGTCAGGTGCTCACATAATTAATATATTTAGAAATTAGCTACAAGTTTCGGTGTCAGTTTCTGCAGTATCATTTAATGGTACTTAAATAAGTGTAGGAACTGTAAATATGTGATCTTCAAATATTCAGCTCTGGAGCACACCTGCCCTAGCCATTCTGTATTGAGACATAAGTCTAAGCATGTGCACCACTGAAATGGTACTGCTGTGGGTGCATCATCTTGTTGTCTGCTAGGTGTCATTTATGCACATGAACACTGTAGTAACCTAAAAAGGCAGTATTAAGAAAGAGACAAACAGAGGAGCAAGACATTTCTTTTTATGCATACTAACTTTGTTTTAAGGGCATTATCAACTAGCTATGCATTCCCGCATTGCTTGGTAAGTCAGGCATGTGTACTCTTTGATGATGTTGGTACGAAATCCAGAAGCATGTGTAATTTGCCATTTAAAACCATCCTCATTGTGTTTAATGTTGTCATTAAAAGGAAGTAAGTGGTATGCAGCTGTGGCAAACATATAGAATAGTCTTTAAATCAACCATTTTTAACTGTGTGTTAGTGAATGTTTCTATTTAGTTTCTGTTTTTTAATTATTATTATTAGTTTAAATGCAGGAATATCTTTATTCTTTCCTGTGTTCTCAGTGTTAATCTGGTGAATTGGGACCACAGTTCACAGTTCTGCACCTTTATGTTTGTGTCATCTAGCAGGAAAACTTTTCTGCTTGAAAAAGCATCTGAACATGAGCCAGGCAATATGTAAGAAATGATATCAATTTTAAATGTGTAAAATAGAGCTTTAGAAACAAATGCTGTTTGAATACTTTGATCCAACAACATAGGTTATCACAGTTTTGGTTTTGGCAGCTATTTTCAATAGTATAATTTAATCTCATATTAAGCCTCTAGCAACTATGCAAATGACAGTATGTATCAATTATTTTAGAGGTTTTGTGTACCATTTTGAGTGCTTTCTAAACATTTTTACTTGAGGCCAAAATCTCATCCACTGCGTTCTCTTAAGTGGGCATTTCTCATCATGTTCTTTAGTTTGTGGACTTAGGGATGGCATAGAGGGAAGAATATACTTTATCTTACTGGCTGAGTAAAGTATATGTATATGTGTTTGTATGTATGCATATGTGTATTTGTATGGATGCATGTATAAATACACAATTTCTAAGTATATACACTCGTATATTTGTTATTTTGTGAAAAAGTAACTCTTAAAATAATTTTTTAATTATACAACCATTTTCTACATATGGAATAGTTCATGTTTATACTCAGCTGATATTTGTTTTGGTGTACTTAATGTCAAGTGTCACTTAACTTTATTTAGTTTTTCTATGTCAGTCTTAAATGTTTTCTGTTGGCATGTGTGTCAAACATTATTTTTTAACTTCACCAGTTTTCATCAGATTTTGTTCCTCAATCAGCACAAAGACACAGAGGACAGGAATTTGTTTTTTTCATTGCATTCTTCTTCTATTATTGGGACGAGTAAGCTTTTTGCTGTTAAATGGAGAGAGAAGATTTTTAGATGGACTTGAGTATTTTGCAAATCACATTGGTACCCATTTCATATTGTTTAATTAGATGTAGAGAAATGAGAAAGGTGATTGTAAGTCTTCTCTAATTGCAGATTAATTCAACAAATCTATATTCTAGAGCAGAAATACAATCATGACTATGACATGGCATCCACAGAGTGTTCATATAACAAGGAAATGAAAACATTTGGGCAAGTTAGAATGAATGACAGAATGGAAGTGCTGTGAGACTGGTACAAAGTGAAGTAGGAATTCAGAAAAAGGAAAGCATAACATCAATCCAAGTCTGTCTTATGTGAATATCCCCACCTTGTGCCATCTGTTGGAGGAATTAAAAAAAAATCTGGAAAAAATAATTTAGGAACTTTACATTGCAATTTCCTATGTGGAGTTAAATCCTAGTTGTGCATAAAATCGGGGTTAAGTCTGGACAGTTTATATAACTGATTTACAGTGTAAACTTATGTTTCCTAAATTTTTATATCTCAATATAATCATGGAGCAATTTTCTCAATTTCCCCACTTTTCTCTTGTGTGAGTAGTGAATTCAGGGGATCTGGAATGAAGTTTTGTGGATTAATGTCTTTCTTTATGAAAAAAAGACTATAAAAAAATAAATTCAAGAACATCTTCATTATTTTGATTTCTTCTTTATGAATTCTTAAATATTTTCTAACTGTTTAAATGTCCAGTGATAGATGAATATATTTCATTAAAAAATAATTAACACATGTAAAAAGAACATGCCTTTTGATAACCTTCTTCATCCTCCTCTCAAGTCCTTTCTCTCGAGGTAAGCACTGGTCTCACTTTGTGATGTGTCCTTACAGAGTTGATGTTGATCCTTCTGTGCTCCATAACAACTCAGGGTTTGGAAACTGCAAAATCCCTTATCATGTGTACATGACAAAAATGGCGAAGTCAGCTGGAGACATGTTAGAGACCACTGCTGTGGGCTGGCAGAATCACAATGAATTAAACACGAGTTTACTCATTCTTCTCATAGGCCATAGTGCCTCCTATTTTTAATTAGTCATCCTGTTTCAAACTTTAGAGTCAGTCTGTTACTTGTGTTTTTTACATTCCTAAACAAAGATATGTCACCTTTAACTGGATATGGTTAAGAATAAACTTTGAATGAATTATAGTTTTCTTTGGGGCAGCTGAAGATCTGTTATTCAAAGCCAACCTTACTTTTGCTGGTTGTGGGTAGATGGATTCAAATAGTCTTCATGAAATTTGGATCACATTTTTTTGGGGCTTGAAATTTGTCAATGATGTTGTTGTTAGGATCATTGATAATGCTAATTTTATTCTCCTTTCTATTTAGAATTTAGGTTTATCTGTTTGCCTTGAATGAAGTATGTCTTTTCTCTTTTGTTCTTGTTTCTTTTCCTATGTATGTGTAACTGGTCACTTCATTCCAATAATTGCTTTGATTGTTTATTTATATTTTACTTTAATGGCTTATCAGAAATGAATGACTATTTAAATTACAAAAAAGTCAAAATATGTTATACATGAAAATCAAGCCATAATAGCTGGTTAATAGCTCAGGAGCACAAGTTAATAATTATCAGCGAATGTTGGCACTTTGATTGGAGGCTTGTACTTTTCCTTCATAAGTCATCATAATTGTAATTACATATTTGTATTTGTGATTATACTTAATGCTAACTTTTCCTAGTAGAGTGTAAGCTCTATGAGGGCAGAAAGCTTGTCTTTCTCTTTGACCATTGTATTTCCAGAACATTTTTCTTATTGTATCTTGAATTTGCGATTTTCATGACTTAAATGTATTTGTTTGGGGGCGGTGGTTTCAACTGTCCATTTTAAAGAGTCAAATGGACATTTACTGTTTAATTATCCAGGCTTCTCATGTTACTAGAAGAGCAAAATATTACAAGTAGAACTGAAAAGAATATAGTTACACATTCTGAAAGTGCATAAGCCTTATTCTCTTTGTGAAGAGTAGATCTTAAATTAGTATAATTTATAAAAGTAATAAAGATAGATTTTTCTCAAAACTAATTGTTAAAGCTAATTGTAATTGTTAAGACCTGGATACAACTCTTCCACCTGAACTAATTGATGAGTAATATCTAATATTACCATGTGCTTTAAATTTTTATCTATACTGTCATACCACAATAATATTTCATTAAACTTACTCTTATAATAGATTTGATATTATTAATACTTAGAAAAGAATAAAGCATTTGGTGTTTTTTTAATACATTTTCTTTTGTCTTTGTCTTAGTCCATTTGGGCTTCTATATAAAAATACCATAAACTGGGTAGCTTGTAAGTAACAGAAACTTATTTCTCAAACGTCTGGAGGCTGGGAAGTCCAAGACCAAGGGCTGACACAGTCGGTGTCCAGTGAGATTTTGCTTCCTGGTTCATAGATCACTACCTTCTCTTTGTGTCCTCACTTGAAAGGGAGAAAGAGAGCTCTCTGGAGTGTCTTTTATAAGGACAGCAATCCCATTCATAAAGGCTCTGCCCTCAGGACCTAATCAAATCCCAAAATCCCCCTCTCCTAATCCGTCATTTTGTGGGTTCGGATTTCAGTTTATCAATTTTGGAAAGATACAACATTCAGATCACACAGTTTCCATGATTTTTATTTTTATACCATTTTCAAGTCCTGTGTTGCTATATAGCGAATTTGTCTGTGAAGTGCACAACTTCCAGTTACTAAAATCCTAATGCATATTTGTTTTATGCTTTTTAAAATATATTTTGCTGTGATTTCTGATATAGACCTAATTTGGTTATTAAAATATGATATGTATCTTCTTCTGTATAAATTCTTAAATTGTATTTCCTCATTTAGTTTCATAATAATAAGTCATCTGTTTGTTCAGAAAAGTTTGTGAATGTTGACAGACCCTTACTGTTGAAATGCCTGTGTTTGGTGCATATACAAACTAAGAAGTAAGAATATTTGTTTAAATTTTCTACTGTGTTACCTCTACTCTTGCAATACTGGATCCCCTTAACTCACAGCCGCAGACCGTGGGAAGACCGGAGTTTCACCTTATAATATCAGACATTAAATATCTACTTTTATCTATACAGTACACATAGAAGGCTATGTGACTATTTAGAATTCAATGTTTGTTTACTAGTTCATCTTTAGCTTACATGTTCATTAGTTCTGAGTAGAACCAAGAAAAACTAATTGAAGAGTATATGCTTATGTATTATCTCTTGCTGTGATTTAACCAATCTTGTTACATGTATTACTAATAAAAGTCCCAGCTTGAATGTATTTCTGTAATCCTGGCTCTGTGAAGCAAAGTTTTCTGTGTCATTATACATTCCTTAAACAATGATAACATTGAAAAACTGATCATCTAAACAAGACTTTTACTAAACTTGTTGTAGACTAACTTATCCTCAGAGAGGAGCACAGAAAGGACTCTCTGTACTTTAATAGTTTAAAAAATGAGGTGGTATGAATAGAAACTTAGATGCGTTTTACTGAAATATGTTGCAAATAGCAAAACTTTCAAATTATGACATAATGGAGGTTAAACTGATTATTTCTTCTCCAAAATAATGACTTTATGTTATTTATACATTTGCAAATGTACTTTTTTAATCTAGATTTTTAACAACCATCAACACTTTTAGGCTTGATAGGAGGCTATTTCCTAAATTGTGCTGGTCAGAGGTTAAAAAACAATGTAATTTTCTATAGTCTTTAGCTCTTAAACTAGATAAATTTGGATCTTTAATTAGAATCATAACATTTTGGAGCAGAGAAGAATATTAGAGATCTTCTAAAAATATAATAATATAATATTGTCCCTCTTTGTGTTACAAGGCATGAAAGGTGACGCTGCTTATTATGATAGGCAAAACTTTGTACAATTTTGAACCAAAATAACTATCATAATATAGAATAGCCAACCTTAAGGAGACTTCAAAGATTTTTCTTCAGTTAAACACTAATAATCATGAAACAGAGTTTCATCTTCTTATTCTTAGTCAATAAATTTAGTGGTAGTATAAAGGAAACCATTCACAGATTTTTATCTAGAATGCCGGTGTCTCTCATTATCAAGATTTTCATTTGAGGGAGTAAAACTCCACCTTGTAACTGATGGGTAATAGTCCTGAAGTCATAAGAGCTGGGTTCATATTCCAGATTTGTTCCTTACTGACCTTGAGTAAATAATTTAGCCTCAAATATCAAAACCTTATGATCTGTAATATGGATTAATAAAAATACTCAATTACTGAGGCTAATGTTACATGACAAATTGCAAAAGTGCATAGAGGAGGCTTTTTATTAATGGTGACAATAAGGAAAAGATACCGTGTGCATTTGGATTAAATGATTTTAAAACGATTGATCTGTAATCTGCCAAAGGTTTAACAAAAACAGTATCATTATCTTAATATCTTCTTTCCATCATATTAATACCCTATTATTTATGATTCTGGCATTGTCTTTGGTTGAAACTAACTAGACACCCATGTCCTGATGATCCGTACTACAGAGAACATTTGTACAAAAAAGTATTAAAGATTGATTATCCTCAATCAAAATTATTTAGATATCTGTTACTCTTTACACTTTAACATTTATCTTACATACAATAATGAGGATGAAATAGGCTTGCCTCCACTTTGAGCAACCCTAGGAAATCATTGGTAAAATGCTGGTTTTCAGATGCAAATTTATTGGTTGAAGGAGGCAGGGAGATAGACATTTTTTCATGGACTGGAGGTACCAATGAGATGAAACTTTTTTTGTAAATTAATGTTTTGCCATACTAATGACTTCACAGAATGATATATAGTTGAGACTGCTGACACCTAGTTATCTGAATACCACATTTTCAAGGAAAAGCTAAGTAGATATATTTCTGAGGTGTCTATATTGGAAAAATAACATATAATTATCTTGAAATAGTTAAATAATTGGCTAGTATTCTCACATACTTCAAGATTTTGCTAAAAATGTTAAGGAGACTAAAACCGACCACCCTGCTTAATACTGCAATTTGGCCGTCTCCTGAACTTCCATACCATGATCTAGTTTCTCTTCATAGAAATTACTATCTTTTAACATACTTTAAAAAAATTCTCATTTATTTTGTTTATTTGTCTTCCTTTCACCAGAGGAAGGAATCTGGTGAAGGCAGAAATCTCTACCCTGCCCTGATGTGTCTCAAGGGTCCCTAGAGCAGTGACTGGCACAAATAGATACTCAATAAATTCTTGTTTAATGATCAACTGGTTGGTTAGCTAAACAAGTTTGTCAAGTTTCCTTTGGGTTTTACTTTGGATATTTTTTCTTTCTCATAGTACACTAATTTTTAAATTTCTTTTTCCTTTTTGCTCCAAGGTAAATCTTTCTATGAAGAATAAACAAAGTCAACGAAAACAAAAAAGTTTTTGTATCGTATTGTGGGTCAAGTGGCCTCAGATTTGACACTTTTTATCTTTCTCATTCCCTGTCCAATGCAAGAAGCCTCTAGAAATTTTGGAAAAGATTTAAAAACCACTTTCACAACCACTGATGGTCAAAGGTTTCTTTTCACATTTTTCTAATTATCTCAGTCTTAAATGAATATTTCTTTAAGAAAGGGACAGTAATTAATCTTTGCATGTCTCTGTGTCTATACAAGTAACAGGAAGAGGATCCTGGAAGTTTGGCTTCTGAATAGCATGATTCATTGCGACGTTTTCAGGAAGGATCTTTTGGCAATTTGTGATGGAAAGTTTCAAAAAATGAAGTAGATCTTATATTTTATGGTCATGTAGCTTATCTTTCACTAAAATAAATATAAATTGATTCATTCTTCCGAGATCATCAAGTAGGCATAAACACCCAAAAGCCTTTGATTTTTCTTTCTCAGCACACAGATACATTATTGTATGTCCAAGTAGATGACTTATCAGTGCGTCCAGGTCCACAGCCGGCTGTCCTAAGCCATAGAACCTGTGCTGAAGAACTACAATGGTAGGAAATCTTCGAATTAAAAAGCATCAACAGTACTACAGTGCCTGAGGCCATATTTTGCTTAAAATGTATGTCCTATTACTTGTCCTTTCGAAAAGAGAGTGAGAGCTAAAGGGTTTCATTCAATCGTAGTCATTATTACTGTAATCACCAAGGAGATTCTGCTTTATGTGGGACTGTTACATGTGGTGTAAAGGCACAGCTTTTCAGAATGGTTGTTTTCACGGTTTATATTAAGAAATGTAGCCACATGTATAATAATAGCTACCATTTTCGGGATGTATTCTTTTGCATTCATATTATACCTACTTATATAAATGCCTATTGCACAAAACTGCAGTTCTCCCTTTCTGTTTGGCTTGTTTGCCATGTACCTACGACCCCATGATAGTCCATTCACAATAGGAGCAGCTGAAGTACTCTCTATTAATTATTCGTGTTAACTTTCAAACAGGTAAAATGCAGGGATATTCAAAGAACTATGAACTGAGACTAATATTTTCTTTCATGTTTAAAATACTATTTTATTGCATAACCCAGGTATAGACTATACAATTACACTACTGAGACAATGAATAAGATAATTCAGAAAATTAAAACAACTTATGCTTTATAAGGAATTTCAAAGCAATATTTTATTCTTTGGCTTGAGTTACCTGGGAAACTGACCCAGTTTTCCCTTTCATTTTCTGGACTTGGCATTATAAAGTCTGTAGACATTTGGAGAAAATTAAATTACTCCATTTAAGGAAACAATCAAATTTAGATTGGGCTAAACTGCTGCTAGAGGGATGGAAATCCCTAAATTGTCCAATTGTGATTCCATTTCACAGGGAAACCCTAGTTCACAAGTTAGCCATAGGATTTCATAGATTGCTAGTAGCAAAATCTGCCAGAAATCTTCCTCTAAACTCAGTGAACAGATAATGTTTGATGCTATACTGACCTAAAAGAATGATGTGATGGCTTTTAACAGCTGTCTTTCAGGTGTTTATTGTTTAAATAAAACAATACCTTGTCTGGCAGTCAGCAGAAATGCGTTTTGAATTGTTTTCTCAGCAGTGTGGTTGGATTTACACTGACCCATCGGTACTTTCAGTGACCAGTGGCATTCTTTTCCAGAGGACTGGCTGAAGTTAAGAGTCTTAAAGAGCAGTTGGATTTGCACTGACCAATGAGGTGGAAGAAGAGAGAAGCTGATTGATCCCAAAGAAAGCCAACACCTAGACTGATGAATGTGAGGACTCTTTGGTTTGGCATTTGTCCTCATTATTTATAGAACGAATGCCAGTTATTAGGCTAGGTTCCAGTTTATTTCTTTTTTTTTTCTTTTTTTTTTTTGTTTAACTACTTTAAGCATGTTATTCCCTGAATAGAGAGAAAGCCCATAGGAGAACCATTCTTTAATCAAACATGTTCAAGTAGCTCACTTCCCTGTCAGAACATCTGAACAGTTGCTCAAACATCAGTGCAAACCTTGAGATCATTACTATTGTTCTACCTAGTAGTTCTCAGAGGGACAGCCCAGAGCAGTTACTCACATGTTTCACTCACATTAAAACATACTTGTCTAGTGTCCCATGTCATCAATTCCCTGTGTAAGAACAGATAAATCAGTTAAAAATATGTGGCACTTTCAAATACTATCATCTTGATTTATTGCAACAGGACAGGACCACTGAGAGATTTATCTTTGGCAAGGGGATAATTTTTGGTACCATCTTAAATCACATGCAATATGTAACCCTCTATGTATAGAGCTTCCCTAAATTCTGAAGTTGAGGAACTCCCACAATCACCTGGGATGCATTTTCTAAAATAGAGATTTTTCAAGGAACTTAACAGAGGATTTTATTCACTAGGTTATGGCAGATTGGCATCCTGTACTTTAAAAGAGATCACTCCTTCCCCCAGAAGATCTAATGCCCAGTCACTTTGTGACTAGTGCTATCAACTCATTGATTTGACCTTTGACCTCCAAAAGCTGAGGACTTAATCTTCATGGTGAGGATTTTTGTTTTTTCCTTGCAGTGACATGTACAACTTGATAACTCACCTCATAATGCTTCTGCATTGAAAGACTTTTTTTGATAATAAAAAGAATAATTATTAACTTGCTTTAAAAGAAGTTGCTCCATTATGAAAGGACTGAAAAAAAATGTAGTTATTCTATTAGATCTACCCTTCATCCCTGAAACTAAATTGTCAGTTTTCACATTAGTAAAGATGTCACTGAGCTCTTTCAAATCTTGTTGTAAAGGTCATTAAAATTTTCATTGTGTAGAGTTCAGACCATGTGCTTTACAAAAAGACAAAACAAAAATCAAATTGAATATGTGGCAACTTTTAAACTTTGTATGTAATGCCCACCTATGGACACTTTGTAATATGTTTTAGGATCATTCTCAATAATGTACAATGGAAAAAGGATCCAGACAAGGAAAAGCTAAACAGCAAATACTGAGCTCACGTTTAAAATCTGGCACAAATATATCTTGATGCAATGGAAAAGGATGATGATAATGACCCTTTTTTCTGGAAATTGTGGAGAAAGAACCATTAAATAAAACAAGAATATGTTGTATGTACAAAATTCAGGCTTTATTGGGGTAGAAATTTGGTCCATGGATTCTACTGAAAAATAATAGACAGTATTCTTATTAGACATTCAGAAATGACAGACTCAGGTATAGAAATTATATGGAAATGTATGGTAAGATTTAAAAAAAAAACTATAAAGGAAGTGGTTGAAAGATTAGTGTGAATACAAGAAAAAGCAGGGAGAGAGTGATGAGGGTGATAAGGTCAAGCTCCTATGGGGACAAGAACACGAGATTGTAATGTTGTCACTGCAAGAGCAAGGTGTTACTCATTTCTCCAAGTAGAAATAGATGTGAAAGAGTAATGACAGCAGCCTGAGAGGGCAACTTTAGGGTCTAGGGAAGCTCTATTCATAGATGGTTACATATTGCATGTGATTTGAGGGGGATCCAAAAATTATCCCCTTGCCAAAGATAAATCTCTCAGTGGTCCCATCTGTTGCAATAAATCATGATGATAGTATTTGAAAGTGCCACATAATTTTAACTGATGTATCTGTTCTTAAGGAGGGATTTGATGATAGGGGACACCAGACAAGTATTTTTTAATGTCAGTGGAACTTGTCAGATGGCATTGTCCAGCCCTTGAGTTAGCCCCAGTGAGATCTGTGCAGAGTTGGAAGCCCTTAGCACATTTGGCATGGCTGATTCCTGGAGTTATAGAGGAAGCAGAATCCAATGATAGACTGAATCTTACTTTTTTGGTCAAAGATTAGCTGTTAGCAGTATATATTCAGTCATTGCGCACACTGGCACTCCTACCCCAAACTAGGAAAGGTGGATTATTCTTTTTTTAGGAACACCATTATACCTAATATTTACCTCTATTATAAAGTTCTTTAGCTGGATTGCATTTATTATTGGTCAGTCACTGTTGTTAGAATGTGATACCCCTGAAGGCAGGGGCTTTGATATTTTCAGTTTTGAATTAAGGGTAGAGCTTGGTACATGAAAGATGCTGAGGAAATCTTGTTGCACAAGCATAGCCAAGGATCATGGAGACTGGAGTTAAGTAGACCCACATTTAGACCCTAGATTCATGATGTATCTGCTGTGTGGCTTTGGGAAAGTTATCTGGCCTCTTTGAAACTCATTTGTCTCATTTGTAAAGCACAGATAGTAAAATCTAAAAATCTCTTTTAGCTATGGGGATGAAGTATATGAATATCGGTAAAGTGTGTAATGTATTTCTAGTGAATAGTGAATGCACAATAGTGGAACATGTGGCAGAGTATTGGGTGTCTAATGATGAGTCAAATAAAATTAATTTTCAAAGGAAACAACTAACTTTTTAAATCACAAACTACATGGAGGAAAGATCAAAAAAGTCAAAGACAGTTATCCTTTGTATACATATTTTTAAAGCTCATTAAATCCCAAATGTTGAGAAAGGAAGTAAAATGGAAGGGGGCAGAAAGAGAATTGCAAAATATTTTTGTGATACATTTTTTTTGTTTCATTTTATGGTGATTTTCATTATTCTTAATTCAAGAAAAAAAAAATAGCTGAGGCTAGTCTAAGAATGCTGACCAGGAAATAATTTTGTCGTAATTTTTGCCTCTAAGTAACAAAGGTGAGATGTTTTCTTTAATTTATTTTTAAATTTCTTTGATTAGGGTATTAAGATCCTGCTTGCAATGAACTAGTTTTAGCATAAATCAGATAAAGCCTTTTGTTCTACACTGCTCAAGAAGAAAAAGCTTAGCTTGCTTTTAACTTGTTTTGCCTAATTGCCTTTCTGCATTAGAAGAGAATATACCATGGAAAAAATATATAATCCCTTCCTGTCCTTCAGCTCCCTTTTTGGGTGTGTTTTGGAGAGTTTGAAATTATATGAAAGTTATGAGAGAGTGAGATAAATATTCAAGAGAAAATTAAGCTTGTTGGGGTGTGGGGGAAGGCGAGATTCCTCACATAATTTGGTAGGTCTGTTAACACTTTAGGACTCAGAGATAACACTTAAGTGAATAGCAATTTACTAGGAGCCAGAAAGTACATGGTAATGTGTTTTAAATCAGTATAATTGTGAAGTCTACCACAATCAGAAAAATCACAGAAATTGCTTTAGAATGGAGAGGGACTTAATTAACAAATAATGAAGTCACAAATTTGACAAAATCTTTAGAAGTCTCCTAGTCCAAATGCCTATTCAAACAAACTCCTCTGCTAGTTAAGTAATGGGTGATGATGTAAACGCTGTTTATGCTTTCAGAAGGCTGTACTTGTTACCTTGTTACCTCATAAAGTCATAATGTTTTAAGGAGAGGTTTAATTATTAAAAAGTTTTTCTTTATTTTAATCAAAATCTGCCTACTGAAACTATTGCCAATCAGCCATCTGCATGTTGTTTTGCTGATTCTTAAGATAGTTATTGAATTTATCCGATGTGCTGTGCTCTGTTTTCAATTTCTCTAGAGTTAAAAACATTATGTCTAATTTCTCATTTACTTAAAAAAATACTTTCTATAAATATATTTCTCCACCCCATCTTTATTTTTTGTTGCTATAAGAAAATACCATAAATGTGTAAGTTATAAAGAAAATAAGTTTATTTCTTATAGTTCTGCAGGCTGGGAAGTCGAAGAGCATGGCACTAGCAACCAGTGAGGGCCTTCTTGCTGCATCATAACATGTGGAGGGCATCACATGGTGAGAGGGTAAGAGAGTCCCTGCCAGCTCAGGTCTCTCTTCCTCTTCTTAAAGCCACCTGTCCCATGAAGGGGGCTCCATACTGATGACCTTATCTAATCCTAATTACCTCCTAAAGGACCCACTTCCAGTCAGCGTATTAATTTGAGGATTAAGTTTTCAACACACAAAATTTGGGGAACACATTCAAACCATAGCAACTCCTATACCCAAATTCAGATTTTTTCTCTTCCATATTTTATTTTTTGGTTCTTTCAAACCATCCTTCACAGTGCTGAAGACCTTACCATCTCTTTGCTGGTTGTCTCCTTCTCCTAATCTTGGCATGCTCTAATTGTCAGGATACCTCTTAAAGCCAAGTCTAAAATTAATTATACTATCCCTGGGTATCTGAGCAAGGCATAGTAAAATGGAAGCATTCTGTGGTTTTGGAAATAATACTTCTGTTAATGCCATCTAAAATCAAAGGTAGGGGTGTGGTTGTGTGTGTGTGTGTGTGTGTGTATGTGTGAATGTGTGTATGTATTTTTGTCAGTGTTACTGTTTTATCAATTCATACTGAACTTTTAGTCAGTTGAAATCTCTAAGTTTTTCCACATGAACTGCTCATAAGTCAGCCTTTCTGTACTCTACTCAAGAGTTGATGTTGTCAGCCCACTTTAAAACATGAAACATTACTATTCAATTCTACCTTCAATCATTAAAAGTAGTAAATTATCTACTAAGGGTCCTATGCAAGATGCTGTGAATACAAACATAAATAAGGCTTGGTATTTGTTCTAGAGGGATTTATAGCTCAGTAGGTGAATACATTTTTACATGGAAGTCTCATCAATAGTTAAAAGCCCTGTAATATAAGTTATTTACAGAAACCAACATTCTTCATTAGCTGAGTCTTGTTGAGTGATGAGTGTTGGCTAGAGTGACATTGTAGTGTATTAGTTTTCTATTGATGCCATAACAAATTACTACAAATGTAATAGCTTAAACAACGTGAATGTATTATCTCACTCTTCTGTAGGTCAGAAGTCTGGCATGGATCCCACTGGGGTAAATTTGATTTGTCATCAATGGTGCATTTCTGTTAGAAGCACTTGCAAAGAATCTGCTTTCTTCCTTTTCTATCTTTTTTGAGGCTGCCTATATTCCTTGGCTGGTGACTCCTTTCTTTCATCTTCAAAGCCAGTAACCTTGCATCTCTCAGACCATTCTTCTGTAGTCACATTTTCCTCTGACTCCTCTTCTGCTGTTTTCTTCCACTTGTAAGGAGCTTGTGACAACATTGGGTCCAGGGTTCTTACCCTATAGTTAGGTCAGCTGATTAGCAAACGTAATTAACATCTTCAACCTTAATTGCCTTTGCTATCTTTAAGGGCAAAAAGAATAAGGGCATCTTTTTCTCACCCTTCGTAAAGGTCACAGCCAACACTGCTGTAATGAAGGACAGATTAACAAGAGAAAAGTATAACAAACTTAGTTAATCAAAGTTTCATGTAACACAGGCACTTTCAGAGTTGAAGACCCAAATACCCAGGGAAAACTGTGTACTTTTTATACTGAGTTTCAGTGAAGAATGAACCGCCATGTAGAAATGTGATTGGACAAAAGAGTATAATCTAATGGTAATAGACTGAGGGGGGAAATCCAGAAAGGTTGGTTTATTTTTTTGTTTTTTTTTTTGGTTTTTTGGTTTTTTTCAGATTCTTCTCTTTGTAGCATTTTTCCCTCCAGAGTATAGGGCAATGAGAGTCTTCAAGGGAAAAGGGAGAGAGTGACCTTTCTACATTTTATGGCTTACTTTAGGGGAGAAGACTTTTAGTTTCTAGACAGACCTTGGAGAAATGCAATTCTGGTTGCTATGACTTGCTTCTGGGGAGAAAGAGGGGTGTGAGAGAGGAGGGCAGGAAAAGGTCAGAGACCTTGTTTCTGAGGCTTTTCCAATTTCCTTCAGTTCCAAGTACTCAGCATGCCAGGGTGCCATACTTTGGGGTATGTTCTGAGCCGCAACACATGTAATCCACATGTAATCCAACCTATTCACAGGTTCTGGAGATTAAGATTTATACATCATTGTGGTGCCATTATATTTGTCTAGCATAGGTAGACACATTTCAGGCAGAAGCATAATGTAAGTATGTAAGAGAAATGCAGGTTGCAAGCAATTGAGTATTAATGCAACAAGGGAACCTAAAGGATGAAACTGGAGAAACAGATAAAGGTCAAGATGATGGAAAGACTTAAGGAACAGGATCAGATTGGTTGTTTCAAAAGATTATTCTGGCAAGAGAACAGATTTAAAAAATGCAGAACCAAAGATAAGAAAACAGCATAGCAACAATTATTTAGTCAAGAAAGATACCAGAAGCTTACACTATTTTCCTAACATCAGAGGTGAAAAATAAGTAATAGATTTGATATGTGCTAAGGAGTTAGGGTCTATGGGTTTGTTGGTTGATTAGTTACAAAGATGTGGGCACGACTGGAGTCAAGACTGCTTCCCAGATTTTCATGAGAAGACTCTAGGTGAATGGTGATGTCATTTATAGTATGGATTACTGAAGAGAAAGTAGAGATGAGGAGTCAAAGGAAGAGAAATGCTTCTGATTTCCATTTTAGTACATGGATATAAGTAAGCTATATTTTCTCCTCGTATGTAATTCTATCCCTGTGTTATCTACAAATATGATATTAATCTACTTGGTATTTTTAATGGAAAAAAGTGTGGTAGAGAATAGAGTCCTCAGAGTGCCAGTAGGGATAACCTTAGTGCCCCTAGTGTAACCACCACTGCCACATCAATCTGAATCCACTATATAACACCATTCAACCAGCTTTGACTCTGTACTATTAGCCAGGTCATATTTCTGCACATATTCCAAAA
This sequence comes from Homo sapiens, assembly GCF_000001405.40. Classification (NCBI taxonomy): domain Eukaryota; kingdom Metazoa; phylum Chordata; class Mammalia; order Primates; family Hominidae; genus Homo; species Homo sapiens. The sequence continues at coordinate 50,905,985 of NC_000002.12, read as the reverse complement.
TTTGTCTTAATAAACTTAGTCTAGTGCCTTGCTTAAACATTTAATAGACTGTCTAAATCATGAAGCAATATTGGGGAAGTTATTTCTATTCAATAGTGTTAAATATTTAAGTAATTAATTCACTTTATCTTCCATTTTGATAAACACATCAACCCAGGGAACTCTATGTGTAAATTCTATTCAAAGCCCTTTGTGGAACATAAATACATATGTCATGTTTATAAATATGTAAAATATAAAATATAATGACCATATAGGAGAGCAAGAGATGAATTCTTACTGGAAAAAAAGTGCTTGGATAAGTGGTAGCTGACAGGGAAGAGATGAGAAATGAGGATAGATTCACTGGGAAAGAGGACACCTGAAAGAAAGAACAGTGTCATTAGAAATATTGGAACAGCTTCAAGCAAAGCATGATTATAGTGAGGGATGTTGTGTGGCTGCAACACAAATGTGGCTGCAAGGGAGGTTTGGAATGAAAGAATTGGTAGCTTTCTGGTTCATAGATGTAGTTATTTTTAATTGAATTTGAAAGTCACTGGGCAGCACATAGCCTCTCCAAATTTTCCCTAGGCTCTCTTACTCCCTACTGTGTGCCCTAACCAGACTCACACATTTATGTGTCTTACCAGGTTCCTTAAATAGCTGCATTTATAACCCTGGATTTATAAACTTATTTTGCAGTCAACACACAGTGTGTGTCAGAGGGTTGGGGATGGATGCTGCCATTATCAGAGTCCCACTTTAAAAAGACATCTTAATGGCAGAGTGAATTCCAAATTACAGTGCTGAGGAAAGGTGGGATCATTAGAGGAAGGTGAATAAGCTAAGAGGTTGTTTAAAACGTTAAGATAAAAGTGGGCTGAACTGTGATGATAATATGAGGAAAAGAAGGAAAGGACCAAACATGAGAAACTAGATTTACAATTTCATTAGGACATGGCCTGGGTCTTGTTCTTTCAGTGGGACAAATCACAAAGTAGATAATAAAAAAAATGAATGAATGAAGACATTGGAGTAGTTGAATTGGATGTGAGAAGTGAAAGGAAAGAACTGAAGGCGACTTGAAGAGCCTGGATATAAGTACCCAGAAGGATTATGCTTCTGAAAGTGCCTGTGGGAGAATAACATTCATCTTAGATCAAGTTCTAAGAAGACATCCAGGGAGACAACATTCAGCAGTGATGAAAATATGAATATGGTTCTCAGGATAGAGATTATAATGAAAAGGGAATATGAAAATTAAGAAAGTTTATTTCAACTCAGCAAAAATATTATGTATCTAGATAAAATACAGATTAGTAATCTTTTTAAAAAGAAAGGTCTGATCATTTAATGCAGACAGGTTGTTTCATGGATGGAGAAACTGAATAACAAGTGTTTTGCGTAAAGTTAATCAACTGGTAAATGGGAGAGTTAGCTCTAGCACAGAAAAGGACATTCCTTGTATTGCATCAGCAGTTTACTGCACTACCTCTGACATCCCCTCACAAGTTTCCACACGGTCCCATTCCCTACTTAGAAGAGAACCATTTTACCATCGTTTATGTTCCCAAATATGAACTTGGATACATTTGTAAAATTCACGTATGGACTATTTAATACTTAGGGATTTCAAGATACCTTTTCTAAATTTCAAGACCTAGTAGAAAGAGAGTGGGGCTGCAAGGAAGCCTAGGGTGAAAGCTACCAGCTTTATTTTATGTCATTTTTTAAAATTATTATTATACTTTAATTTCTAGTATTCTGGCCTGGCCACTCTAACTTGTCTCATGTATTTCAGTCAAATTGCTGTTATGGAACAAACTGGATTCTTCAGTTCTAAATTTCACAGAATTATGTAAGGCTAATGGATTTCAGGTCATGCCTTACTGAGCCTAAGGGTTCTGGGGAGGGACCTGAGGACCACTGCTGGGGCTTAAGAGTGCGGAAAGAGCAGGACTTGGAGCCCTTGCCCTGATTCCAGCAGAGACATAGTCTTTTCTCTGTTTTAACATTGGGCTTTCTCCCATGATTGTCTATAAAGGAAGGGTCTCTTATTTTAAAATATTTGATAACTACTGCTAGAGGTTATTAATCTCAGGGCTACAGCCGGCGTTTCAGATCTTACTGTCTTGTATTTGTGGATTATATTAGAACACTCCAAATCTCATTATTTCAAATGAGTAAATCACAGAAGTTCAATTTTATCCTGAAAGTACCTTTGAGCCATTCAGCTCTGAGCCAAGCATCATCTCTCTCTGGCTTTTGCCAACACAGCTCCCTTTGCCTAAGGACGTATTGAGAGGAAATAATTTCAAGTTTTCACAACTAAAGGAGAGGCTTTCCATTAGGAGAAGATACAAGTAAGCCCCATTTTATCCTGTGTTATAATTTACAGAATGCTTATGCACAAGGCCCATAAGGTATGTTGTGGGGGTGGGGCTATGATATTGTGGTACACTGAGAGCACATGTCACTACAAAAAACAAAAACCAAAACAAAAAAACACCTCCCCCAGAATACTTCTATAATAATTCTTCAGTTAAAGATGAATTAACAGTTAGTTACCTCCAAGACCATCAACATAATAGAAACAGTTATTATGCAAAGCTTTATTTGAACCATGTTAATGTCTTCCTATAGTTAGATTGAATTCAGCTTCAGTATGGTTTAGATTGAAGAAAAGTCATTTTGGTCAACAAGACTAAAGAGAGAGTTAAAATTTAGGTTGGCGAGGTCTGGTAGTGAATACCTAGAAAGCAGAGAACATAAAGAGATTGCAAAGGGTCCTCAAATCAATTCCAGTATCTTACTTATTTTAGTTTATCTTTTAAAAAAAGTTCTGGCCCTGTCTAAATAAACATAGCTTTATTCTTCCTGGTAACATTATCTCTGAAAAATAATATATTGGTGCTGGTTGGGAATACATGCCCAATATCTTCTTGAATAAAGTGATATTATTGTAATTTTCTACTTTTCTCAGCAGCTTCATCTTTTATTCATAAATACTTGTTTTTGGTTTGTAAAAGCAGTTTTCTAAATGTACTTCCTCTTCCCTTCCTTATCATTTTCTAATTGTAACAGTAGTAGTAGTTCTGATTTAGGTAAACTTATAGAATAATACATTAAATTAATCTATTAATTCATTTTTGACTTGTAAAAAGCATTTTCTTATCTGTTATAATAACTATCTGAGATAAAGGGACAATGACATTTGACTTCCTTTTTTCAGATAAGAAAAAATAACCAAGATAAAAACTTTTTCACATTACACAGTAAGGAAATAGCAAGTCAGAACCTGATGGTGAAAGCTAAAGCTCCCCACTAAGGTCAAACTACACCATGCATGGGTTTTTACCAGGGTGCTGTAATATATTCTCAGCACTCCCAAGTTACATGGTATCTTAGAAGATCAGGAGATGTACTGTTTCTCAATACATCCAGTGCTGTCTCACAAATTGAATTAGAAAACAAAATTAACTGATATTAAGTTGTTTCACTGGTAGTGTTTTCCAAGATAAGCTAAAATGATTTCTGGTTTAGAGTTATGAAAATCCTGCATTTAGAATTTTTTTATGTAGATCTAGTACATTAATATTTATGACCTCTTTTTTTTTTCAGTTCCCGAGAAAACTTGTTTTTGTTCTTCTTCTATTCTAAACTCAGAATGTGATTCAACATTTGCTTTATTTTTTTTCTAATTTGTGTCTGTTTTTACTTCAGTGATTCTAAGCAAAATGAATAAATGTTTTGGTATAATGAATATTGCTGAGAATAAATGCATTTTCTTTGTCTTGCCCTGGTTAAAGAATATTTCTAGATGCTGATGAGTGAATTAATGATATTTCAGACTCCTCATCATCTAATAAAGCCATCCTTCTCAATGGCCAATTGAGGTTACGCTTTTCTAAAGGAAAAAAATAGTACATTATTACACTCACTTTCTTAATCTAATGGCTCTAACTTTGCTTTGGAGAACTTCATGACTTTCCCACCAAATTCTAGTTTGGTATAGAAGCAAGTAATGTTCTATTCATTAATATGGAAGGACAGCATATGGGAGGTTATTTAACTCCTTAGTGTCTCCATCTTCCATTCGCCATGCGTGTTGCAATGATAAATGAAAACATTTTTAAACATTTTGAAAGCTTGAAAACCTATTTAGTGAATACAAATTAGCACATTATTGCTATAATTCACATTTACTGAAGAACTTGTGGACTATTGGCAGTTTCTTTGGATTGTTGTTTAGTCTGTTTTTGATTACCTACTGGTCAAATCACATTTTTTTCTTAGTGTCACGTGATATCGAACTATTGTTGAACTTTCCTTTTAAGATTGTAAGATTTATTTGAGATCCTTTAATGAAGTTCTTGCTTGTATATAACTTTGTACCAGAACGCCAGGTGGGGAACTTTGAAAGCATAATTAATGTTTTCTCATCTTTATTTTCTTTCTTTTTTTGCGGGGACGGAGTCTCGCTCTGTCACCCAGGCTGGAGTGCAGTGGCGCAATCTCGGCTCACTGCAAGTTCTACCTCCTAGGTTGACGTCATTCTCCTGCCTCAGCCTCCTGAGTAGCTGGGACTACAGGTGCCTCCCACCATGCCTGGCTAATTTTTTTTGTATTTTTAGTAGAGACTGGTTTTCACCATGTTAGCCAGGATGGTCTCGATCTCCTGACCTTGTGATCCGCCCGCCTCAGCCTCCCAAAGTGCTGGGATTACAGGTGTGAGCCACCGTGCCCAGCCTCATCTTTGTTTTCTTTATTGGATATTAATTCATTCTGTTCACTCAGTTCAAATTTATTGAATCCCCTCTTGTGGGCTCAGGGGAACAGGGAAATGAACAGATGAAAATCATGGATCATGGTACTCACATTTTAATGGTATGAAACAAGCATTAACAAAAACAACAAAAGCCAGATAAATAGTGTGTCAGATAGTGATACCTTCTATAGAGAAAAAAATCAGTGAATGGGACACAGGAGTGTACCGATGAGAAAAGGAGGTTTAATTTTTACATGAGGTTGTCAGGTAAGGCCTTCACTGGCAGCATGACATTTGAGAGAATTGAAGAGGTAATTCAATATGAGTTCAGTTTTCTTGATTCTTAGGAGAACCATCTCTTCCTTTCTACCTCCAGTGAGCTCAGTCTAATCCAGGTAGCGCTCATCACCTCGTTCTTGCATTACATCATTCCTGCCAGCTGCTTTAGCTGGTTTCTCTTAGTTAGGTTTCACTCTCTCTGGCTTGTACAACATCACGGAATGCCGTTGCTCAGAAATGTGCAAATGTTCCCTTATTACCTGTCATATCAATTACAGGCTCCTCCACATTATTTTCCTACTATTGAAGAGCCCTATTTATTTAATAATTTTACTTTTAATCCTCACTCTGACAAGTAGGTCTGTTCATGCTATCTTGAGTAAGCCATACTTGTTTCCAATTCTATTTTCTTACTTGTACCCGCCTTCCCACCTGAAATGCCTTCCGTTTTCTAAATATTTTACCCAAGTGAGAGGGTTTGTTTAATTGATACTGACAAATATGCTTATAATAGAAAGTAAAACTGACTTAGACCTAATAACCTCAACTAGAGGCTGATCCCAAGTACATACTACGGGTTCTAGAACTACTGTCCTTAAAGGGTGAACTCCCAGATACTTACCCTTCCACTGGAGAGTTGAAGTGTAATGTGATATAGGATATGGTGAGGTTTGGAGATTTAAAGGATTGGGATCTATTATGCACTTAAAAATCCCACATTGTCCAACATGTTGTGGACACTAGGCCTTTAGGCTGATCCCTGTCACAAAGGGGAAACTGACATTCAGCAAGGTTTAATTTCTTGTGAGTAGCCATGGGGAGATATTATTTCTTTTATTTGTATTGCTCAGCCTTCTCTTGATAATATTCATGTTACTCTAGATTGATTAATTCTCTGATTATTTTATGGTTAGATGCTTAATTTACACACAAAAAAATCCCTTTTGGTATATTTCATGTCTTGTCTCTTCAGTTATTACATATTTTAAAATACCTCTGTGTGCCTAATATCAGTACATCTTCTGTATCTCCCATGACGTCTAATAAACTGCTGTAATTCACATTCAAAAATTCTTTCTAATTAGTTTGATGTGGAAGATTTCAACAACCTGACGTTTATGCTTCTTAAACTGCAGTTCATGTATTTGACATAATTCTGCCAGATATCAAAAGTTCTATAACATCACCAACATGGGGTTACATCAAAGAAAAATAATGTCATAAGAACCTATAAATTCTTTGTATAGTCTGTTGTCACATTTCCCTGCTTGTCTTTCTACAGACTTTCTTTAATACATCCTGCAAAATATTAGAAAAAAACAAATTAACTCTCTCTTCAAGGAAGGCTTTGACATAATCTACCCCCTTTTTTAAATTTTTTAAAAAATTTTCTCTCTGGTAATCTTGTTACTTCACAGGGTTACCCTTATACAGTAATATAAACCTGGGGGAAGCAGGGCCCACATCTACTAATCCTTGTCTGGAGAGAAGAAAATGAAAAGGCCTCTAATGTGGCAGAGGGTGTCCCTAAAATTGAATAAACACAGTGTAGTGGGAAGACCCTCCTTTTAAGACACATCTCACCTTATTCTATTTGTCATTGTCAAAGCATTTAATGTTCCAAGCCTTCTGCAACCAGTTTTATCTGATAACGTTTTCAATTGTACTGCATTGGAAATTGGAGTGAGGTGCACTTCAGAAATTACGGTGGAATCCGGCTAATTCAAATTATTGATGTGGCGATTTGCTGCAGATGGTTAAATTTTGTGAGCTTGGAAGTAAGTGAAAATCAGGATTAAAAGTCAACCTATTGCTTCAGAATATCGTTCATTTATTTTAGCGACTGTAGTTTAATTTTAATTATTTATGTCTCTGCTGAATAGTTCTTCGGCAAATGCTCCATGGAAAATACATCATCTTCTTTTTCAAGCTGTGTCTGCATTCAGAAGTCTTAACTCTCTGTTTGACAGGTATTTCTTTGAGTCATCTATATTAGGAAATAATTTTTAATCTGTCGGCAAGAATCCTGAATTTGCTTTCCAGAATAGGTACTACATTCAAAATCTAGTATGACTTCTTAGGCATTTAATATTCTGAACAGAAAGCTTCCATAGAAATCTTTTATTCTGGTTAAAAAAACCCAACTAAATAATTTACTCTTTTAATTATATTTCACTGTTAATGATGTCCATCAACACTTATTTAAATGTATTTTCAAAGCATTCATTTCTGAAGAATAAATTATAAATGTGCTTTTTATATTAAGCAATTAATTTCATAGGAAAATTAAATTTTTGAAATGTGGGAATTTAGATTGTAGAACAATTGAATGATAACCTCATAGAATATTACAGCAAAGTTGAATCCTAGGAAGAGCACAATATCCCGTTTCATTTTCTACCTCCCTACGGATATATGCATGTCTTTTATTTGACATTTCATAAAAATGTGTTATAATTATTGGTAACCAATAGTAGGATAACTTTGAAAATAAAACTCTTTGAAAAGTGTGTCCTTTTTAAGATTAGACATGTTAGACATGCCACTTCCTCTCTTATACATCTTTGGAAAAGGGCTACAGATAGAAGCCAGAATGGCCCATATTTAAAAAATAAAACTGCAGTTAAAATCTTTGATAGTTACATTGAAAGCAGTAAGAAAGTGTTGGAAATCTCTGCAAGGGACAGTCCTAAGAGGGAATGAACTGTATAAAAAAAGAAAATTTTTGAGGAAAAAGTTTGAAGATGAAAGGATTCTTCATATAGAAACAAAGAAACAGTGACATAAAGTTATTCAGACATTGACTGAATAGAGCCACAACTAATGACAACTTAATAGGAGAACTTTATCTTCAAGCTTAACAAAATTTCTAGACCTAATGCAATTCAAGAAATATCTGGAAATTATTGTGTGACCTGGCATATCTAAACTAAACTTGTCCTGTAATTTTCTAGTTCAAACTATAGTGGAAGATATACTGTAGTGATTATTCAATCCATTCTGATCAATTATGACTATTATGTTTTGTTTTTGCTATCATCAATTTTATGGAGGAATACAGTAAATAGAACCCATTTAAAGTGCACACTTTGATGAATTTTGACAATTGTTTACACTTGTGAAACAATGCTGCAACCAAGATACAGAACATTTCCAAAGATTGTGAAGATTCTTTATACTCCTTTATAAACCATTCTCACACCTTCCCTTGGATCTGGGCAACCACTGATCTTCCTTTTGTCACCATAGAATAGTCTTCATTTTGTTTAATTGGAATCACCAAGTATGTGCTCTTGTGTGTGGCTTCTTCATTTCTGCACAGTGAGTTTAAGAGTCATCCAAATGTGTTTGTGCAGATGCAGTACTTTATTCCTTTTTATTGATAGGAATATTAAATTATGTTTTTATGTGTATGTTTTATTTCTTCACTTAAATCATGTTCTTATTAATATCAAGGAATGCATTTTAAATTCTTTGTATCCCTTCAGCACCTAAAATAATCCCTTGCACATAGTAGAGGTTTGTTGGTTAATTGATTCATCATTCTGAGCATAGATGTTGGAGATAAGTTTTAGAATGGTCCTGGTATCACTGATACTCATTGTTTGAGAAAAATTTTGTGTTGAAAGTAGCAAGTTCAGAGAAAACAATTTATTGAGCGGTTTCTCTATGCCAGTCACAGTACGACGTTTGGCATTAATCTCATTTATCCTCATAACCAGTCCTACGTGGTACTTATACTGCAATTATACTTATTTGTTAGGTGAAGCACAGAGATTAAGCAACTTGACACTGAAGCTGATAAACAGTAGAGCTGCTTAACACCAAAGCAGTTGCTGTTAGCCATGATACCTCATTTCAACAGTTACTTAGAATGAAAATCCATATAGTAGCTAAAATGCACAGTGTTAATGGTTTCTAGGAGAATTTTCAGACCTTTTATTGTCTCCTTCTCTCACACTGACCTCTTGCAGTTTTGCTCAGGACACTTCCTGCCATCTCAGGGCGCTGGCTGTAGTGCCTCTTTCAGATGCTTAAATCCCTTACATCTTTCAAATCATTGCTCAAATTGGACCTCACTGAGTCTATTCTGAATTTTTTTTTTTTTTTGAGACAGAATCTTGCTCTGTCGCCCAGGCTGGGGTGCAGTGGCACAATCCTGGCTCACTGCAACCTCCACCTCCCGGGCTCAAGCGATTCTCCTGCCCCCAGCCTCCTGAGTAGCTGGGACTATGGGCATGCCCCACCACACCCAGCTAATTTTGTATTTTTAGTAGAGACAGCGTTTCGCCATGTTGGCCAGTCTGATCTTGAACTCCTGATTTTAAGTGATCCACCTGCCTCAGCCTCCCAAAGTGCTGGGATTACAGGTGTGAGCCACTGCGCCTGGCCAATTCTGAACCTTTCTATTAGATACTTCAACCTTCTGCCACTTGTCTCCCACCCTCCCAATCCCTTTTACTTGTTTATTTTTTAGAAAACCATAGCACACACCATTTTCTAATATATACACGAATTACTTAAAGTTTAATGATTGTTTCCTTGTTTGTCTCTGCAGAGTATAAGCCCCACAAGGGCAGGAATCTTTGTCAGTGCTGTTATCTGATTTATCCCAAATGCCTGGGACAGTATCTTACACATAGTAGGTTCCCAATAAATGTGTGTATTAGGCTATGAGCTGGGATGTTTTTGGCTCTCTTCCCATAATATCTGAGTTATTTTTTTTTCTTGGAAGATGTAGCGTTGAGTGATACTTGGGTGATTTAGAGACCAGATGAAAGAATAGAAACATTGATATGCAATTCTCTAACAGGACTCAGTAAATAGTAAGAAATAATTTTCTGCATTAATCCCCTCTACTATCTTGTGCCTGTGTTATATTGATTTTAATGGTTCACATTATCAGGGCTTTTTTAGATTGCTTCTTAGAGATTGAAGAGGCTTGAGAGAATTTCGAGATAATTTGGTCCAAAATTTGAAATTTGGGAGCTTTGGAGGGTTGTGGAGCGAATATATTTCACATGGGTTTTAATAATCGTTTGGAATGTCAATGCCCTTACATAAAATTTCTTGCATAGGCCAGGCACGGTGTCTCATGCCTGTAATCCCAGCACTTTGGGAGGCTGATGAGGGTGGATTACTTGAGATCAGGAGTTTGGGACAAGCCTGGCTGACATGGTGAAACCCCATCTTTACTAAAAATACAAAATTAGCCAGGCGTGGTGGCGCACTCCTGTAATCCCAGCTACTTGGGAGGCTGAGGCAGGACCATTACTTGGACCTGGGAGGCAAAGGTTGCAGTCAGCCAAGATTGTGCCATTTCACTCCAGCCTGGACAACAAAAGCAAAGTTCCATCTCAAAAAAAAAAGACAAACAAACAAAAAAAACAACCAAAAAAAACAAAATAGCTCAAAGCAGTATTTTGTCTTAATTTATAGTGACCCACTCATTTCAGTGCCTGACCCCTGAATATAGTTAACTAGACCACCTCTGATACAGCCTCTTTATGTTACGGAAGAGAAAACAGGCTCAAGTGGTAAAGCAACTTATCTATAATGAAATGACTAGTTACTGCCTTTTTTGCTGTAAGGGGAAAAATATCCAATATGTAGAGGCATTTACTTGTCAGTTAGAGCAAAGATTAATTCAAAGATGTCATGTCTGCTTTTTAAATCACCTTTTTATTGGATTCCTTACTTAACACTCATAAAATGGCTCATTGTTTGTGGTCATTTAGGCCCCAATAGGGTATGTTCTCTTTCAGGATCATAAATTACTCTTACAGCGTTTGAGATGTACTGAAGGTTCTAAGGCTTCTGTTAAACTTGGGGGAGGGAATAGCAAATGAATAATTTGTCATTTATTCTTGTGGCAATTCATTTGTAGTGGGAACCCAACTCAAAGTCAAAATACTTTATTTATTGGCTTGTCATGGTTGTTTCTTGAAAAGCAGTAGTAATTGCATTTGATGTAAGCATGAGATATGGAATAACATGAAGGAGTAATATTATTTTATATTTCTAGGAATAACATAATCTTGGGAGAAGGCCAGGAAATTTTTGTTGCCTAGTCAAACAAATGTTAGATTACATCGTGGTATAATTTATATTTTTAAACAAAACTCCCATTGCTAAATTTTCTTCTAATTAATTTAAAAATGTAGAAACAGCATTCCTCAAATGATATCCTCTGCCACTGGATTCAGTAATATAACATATACTTTTTGTTGATTTTATTTTTTAGTTTGAGATAATTTACATATAAATTATATAACCACATGGCTCACCATTATATTAGCACTAATTTTTATGTTAATCTCATGGACTGAGGTGTTAAATGTTTTTCATGTTCAGTAGATCTTAGACACTATAAAGAAAATTTATACAATAAAGTGCTGCCCATATAATTTCAACTATTTCTTTGTGTATAGAATATATTAATTAAGTGTTCTGCGTTTATGGAAAAACATGGGGAAAATAGGAAGTTTCAAATGAATAATCAGGACAAATCTTGAATTGTTCGTGCAGTTGACTTTAATCATTTTTGCTGAAAGTGAAGAACAATTAATTGACAGTTTCCTCAGTTGTATTAATTTTATTCTGAGAATGAGTCAGGTTTTTTTTTTTGGTTTTATTTTACTGTTTTAGACATGTCACATTTATTTTGCTTTTCCTGTTATTTTATTTATTTATTTATTTATTTATTTATTTATTATTATTATACTTTAAGTTTTAGGGTACATGTGCACAATGTGCAGGTTAGTTACATATGTATACATGTGCCATGCTGGTGCGCTGCACCCACTAACTCGTCATCTAGCATTAGGTATATCTCCCAATGCTATCCCTTCCCCCTCCCCCCAACCCACAACAGTCCCCAGAGTGTGATGTTCCCCTTCCTGTGTGGCATTATTCACAATAGCAAAGACTTGGAACCAACCCAAATGTCCAACAGTGATAGACTGGATTAAGAAAATGTGGCACATATACACCATGGAATACTATGCAGCCATGAAAAATGTTGAGTTCATGTCCTTTGTAGGGACATGGATGAAATTGGAAATCATCATTCTCAGTAAACTATCACAAGAACAAAAAACCAAACACCGCATATTCTCACTCATAGGTGGAAATTGAACAATGAGTCAAGTTTTTAATAAATTGTTGAAAAAATCCTGAAGGATAACTATAGTACCAGAAATAGAAAGTCTTACTAATAAACGAAAATACTTTTGTTTATCAAAAATCACATTATAATTGTGAATGTATATGCTGACTGTACATTACTATAATTATAATACATCCCTGCATAATCAGAGAACTTCTGGATTCAATAAAAATAAATATCACATAGTAAAGATTTGTCCTGCACCGACACTTGAGTTATATGACATGGGGACATCTCAAATATCAGAATAGCTTCTAAGAAGAATCTTTTGGTCCTTTAATAAACAATTTAGATATGACAACCAAACCAAATCCTATATTAAACCCTACAGGAAAATGCTTTATTGAGGCTGCCTTATATATTGACGTTCTCATTAAAAATTATTCACAAATGTCAAATGTTTCATTATATGAAAGCCCCCTTTAACATTTAAGTAGGATATATTTAACTACAAAATAATTGTCTGTCCTTTTGTGGCATTAGTCATATACTATAAGTAAGTGAAAAGAGTTTTAATAATGTATTACCTACCCTAAAATAATAGATATTTGCATGTACATCTATAAACACATGTGACAGCTGGGTGCTCCAGGGGACAAATGCTCAGATGCACTTAGGGTACAAAAAGTTGTTGGGAGGTAGCAATTATGAGTGATAAAAGAGGAAAGAATCCAGATAGAAAGGGGTGACAGGCCTCAAGCCACAGTACAGATCTGATAGGCTCTCAGCCACCTCTCTGGAAAGCTCTGGAGTGAAGACTGCCCATCAGAGGAGTTCTTGTTTGGGTGAAAATGGCCAGGTCCCAATCTTCCTGCCCTCCCTTGACCACGCCATGGTTAGTCATTGGCTAGGGGCAAACCCAGAGAGCATGGCCTCAGCAGATCTTGCAAGTATTATTTGTTGGGAGTTGTCAATTAACTGCACTCCTTAAAGATGAACAGTAAGTTGTTGAAATAAACATTGAGTGACATATGGCAACTGGCACATGTTAATGGCTGCTCCAATATATAATATGTGTTTACATACATATGTTATGAATAAATATATGTATGTACACAATATGCCATGTATGTTTAAAGTAAAGAATGTTTATATTATTGGCCAAGGTATCTCAGACTCAATAGAACTTTAAATGTTTGCAGGTTTTTATCAATGGTTTAAGAATTCCATGTCAAGGTAGTTTCAAAGGATTGGACAATTGCAACTATCAAGCTAGAGCTGTATGTGAATTTCAGACTATTTGGTGGCTCTTTCTCTAAGTCTGAGTATTACTGCCTCTGTAAGATGACCAATTAAATACTACACCAGTGTATATTATTTTTTGAATGGAAAAACATATTATACTGGGAGGGCTTAATGAATTGTGCTACATAATATAAAGAACCTAATCATAACCCAGCCTTAGGAGATATTGATCTCTCAATTCCCAATAGCTGAGTAATAACTGTTTGATAAAGGAAGCATCACAACTTCCATCTACAATTATTCTCAGTATTTTATTTCCATTCTCAAAACTTCATTTAATGAAGCAGACTTAATAAATGCCATGTTCTCTGTCAGGACATTTTCACCTATTGTTTTTTCCTGCATATTCTTCCCTCAGGTATTGGCAATACAAGTTTCCCTGCTTTATTGTAATCCCTGTTCAAATGTCACCTTCTCAAAGAAGTCTGTCTCCATCTGATCTGAAATAAAGGCTTCAGAACTATCCTCTTTCCTTTCTTTCCCTAAAATAATAGTTGTTCATATGTGGCAATATATTATACAGCTGTAAGTTTGTGTATCCTGATAATATTGGATACCTTAAGTACAGGGATTTTTGTCTGTTTTCTATGTGGCTGTACCCCCAGAACCTACAACAGTGCATGGCATATGTAGTAGGCACTCAGAAAATATCAATTCAGTGAATTAATGAATGGATGGGTGATGAATGAAGAAACAAGTGAATATGTTGAGAAGTCTTTGCCCGCTACTCATGTTTCAAAAATATAATTGTGTCTGTATAAAAACAAGAGTTTACCCTGATCCAGGCTTATGGTACATTCCCATTCCAAGAGAAACTGTATCATCATCTGAGGAAAAGTAAGTTTTTTCTGGTAGTATACTTTGTATATCAAGATATGTTAACAAGAAAGGATGTTTCTCTAGCCTTGGCATGTGATTTTATTAAAGCAGTAATCTGTTTTAATCAGTCATTTTTCAAGTAATGATTAATTTTTATAGAAGTCTACCTCTTGAGCAGTTGAGAATCTTTCAAACAGCATAATCCTCAGCAAGGTCAATGAGACTTTCACATGGTCTTATATCAGATTGTATAATAAAATACTCGTGTATATTTAAGTATAAACAGAACAATTCCATTTATGTCTACTATAAAGTGAAAAAGGAAAGAAGGTTATGGCCTTTGCAGCTGACCTGGAGTCCTGTGCTTTATGGTCAGTCTGGTAACTATGAAGCATTCCATCACTAAGTCTAAAATGAGTATTGATTTCAACTTGCCACTTTTCTATTTCTTCTGCATCTGCAGCAGCAATTTTGGAGATATTCTTTTCTCCATGTCATCATATCATGGTTCACTTGGCCTACTTCTTCATTTACTATTGAAAGACAGAAGCATAGATCTTTCAATAAATCACTAGTATTTTCTCTAAACAATCAATAGTTACTGACAGACTGTTTGCCTGGCTGAAATTTTGACTTCGAGGAGGCTGTGGAGTATCCTTTGGCCAGAAGTAAAAATCTAAGCCCCTAAGTAGTAAAATATTGACCATGTATAAACATGTGCTTTGTTTTCACTAAATAGGGATTAAAATATGTTAAGTTTTGCATTATTTGGTTAAGGCATTAAATATCTACTTATTTTATTCTTTACGTTGAAGTAAAATTTAAGAATAATGATATTACTGAAAATAAACCTAATCATTAGAAGTTTGTGTTTTGTGCATAATACAATAAAACAAATACAGTTGTTTCACTACAGTCGTTATCTCAGTTCAGAATGAAGTAATTATGAGCTGGTAAGGTGATAATTAAATGAATTTTTCAGTGTAGGTTTCTGTTCATGTTTTTTGTTTTAATTGTTCAATATAAATGGAAATAAAATTTTCCCTGAAGATACTATTTTAAGAAGAATAAAAAGTTCTCCTGCAATAATCACATTCATACTTAACGTAGTCTGACAAATATCAGATATATTTGATCTGAACTTTGAAATATGGGTGAGTGTTAAATACCATTAAAGAGTAGCTAAGGACAATTATGGTCTGACAAAACTAACGATTCACATTAAAAAAAATCTAAGTAAAACTTTGAAATAAATTTTCACTCCTTAAATGTCCTCCATTAAATAAAATAAGTCAGTTTCAGTCTTTTAATTATGTTTTACTCTTTCATTATGTGATATAGATAAAATGTATATGGTACATTTACTGAGTGGTTGATTTTTAAAGGGCAGTGTTAATGTCTTCTCTAAGTTTTGTGAAGCAGAGTGATCCAAAATATATTTTAAGGTTAGAGTTTCACTCACTTCACCACCTTTTACAAGGAATTCTAATTAATGACACTGCTGGATGACACATTTGTTTTGCTAAACATAACAGATAGCAAAAGGAATTTTGGAAGTAGGTGATGCATGATATTAAATACAAAGAAGCATTATACAAGTTGAGAACTCTGCCCAGTGCATATTTGTGTGTTTGAGTTAAAACTAAGCCTCTATATTAAAGGAAAACCTGAAGCTCATGTTACAGAATGAGCACATAGAAAGTAGGAAGTTATTAACATGCAGCATTATTAAAAATATTTTAAATACTGATAAATTAGATTTATTTTAAAGATATGTTTAGGAAAAATAAGCATTTTTATTAGTTACTGAAAAGTAACTGAAAGGAAATACTTAAATGTTTTAGAAGGAATAACCTGGTATGATAGTCTAAATGCTATATTTTAATAAAAGTGGTTATATATTGTATGCAGTTATGTTTATGAATGCTTTATAAAATTTGTTTTATAACATTTTATTAGTATTTACATTTTCTAAAGTTTACTAAAAGTGTGATATTCCAACATAAATTAATCATGTAACCAAAGTCTTATTCTATATTTAAATGAAAAGCTATTACCAATAAGAAGGATTTTAGCTCTACTACATAAATAACCTTGGACTTAATTACAAGTTATATTTGAATGTAAAAATATGTTTTTTCTGAAAATAATGTACACGTTATACCACAACCTCTTCTTATTTTGAATTTGAGGTTAAACAGATAGAATCGGAAAGAAAGCTGCCATCAGACATGGTTTTTCCTTTGTTTAGATGGGAAACAAATTACTTTTACTTGCATGAACTTACGGAGTGTTTATTGAGCATTTGCTCTGTGTACAAATCATTGACAAGTAGAGTGGGAGACATCAAAGAAACCAAAACATGGTTACTATCTTTAAGCAACTCAACATATTAATATGCAAGAGTACACAAATAACTCAGGAGCAAAGTATTTTGAAGAGCTCAGAGAACACTTCCCGTCTGATGGAAAGTCAGAAAGAAAGAGGGCACATTTGATATAAGCCAATTTCAAGTATTGGTGGGATTTTAAATACATGAAGAGCAGTTAAGAAGACTCATAGTTTACAAAGCTAAAATTCTTTGCCAATCTCCATGTTTCAAAACCGAATCTTTTTTGCTGAAAGACTGAGAAATGATCAAGTTGTGATTAAACATGATGAAAATATGCTGTCTGTGTTAAGGTTAGATTTTACTTTTTAGGCTATGATAGTTTGATCTGTAAAGTAGAATACCAATTAAACATATTATAATCTGATATTTCCAAACAACAAGGATATTTTTCATGCTGTGACAATCATAAGAAAATAATAAAGAGGAAAGCAAAATCTTTGAACAGGTAGTTATCAAATCCATCAGGTTAAAGGAAGCCATTTCTTAATCAGAGATAGAATGTAGGTAATGATTTGTGCTAATTATCATATGAAAATCAAACAAGAGTTAAGCCACAGAATTCAAATTGAGTACCTGCATTATTGTTCTGATTTTGTATGATTATTGAGAATACATTGTCAGGGCAATTAGAAATTATCATTGTCAAAACATATTTTGGCATAAAATTCAAGCAACATTATACTTTTTTCTGAAGCTAATGGTGGATTACAGTTATTGCAGTTCATGATTTTCTGCAGAGAGGAATGAAGACAGTAAGGCAGAGAGTGAGAGAGAGAGGGAGGAAAAGATAACAGAGGGAGCAAGAAAGGAAAGAAGGAAGAAAAAATCTCTAGACTGTTTTAACTCTCCAGGTTACTTGGCTAATTTTATGGTCCTCCCTCCTACTTTCACTGCTTTCAGTTCCACCTTAGCCCTGAGCTGTTCTTTCTCTTTAGTACTGGCTGTGGCATAAGACCCTTGCAAACATGAAATCAGTTGGAAGAAATTCTGAATTTCACCTGCCTCCAATTAAATCTCATGGACTTTCTTTCCCTCCAATTTGTATAATTGTTTGATCTTGACCAATCCCTTCTTTCTCTTTTATAATTTCCAAAGGTTTTTGCGTTGTGTTTTTGGTTGGTTTGTTGTTTTAATGTTTGGGGTTAGTATTGATATCATTTTTCTTGAAGCTCTATACTTCATTCTCCCAGTTTTTAAGAATTGTCTGTCATTTCTTCCAGTCAGCTGTGACACTGTACTGATCTTGAAAGATTAAGACAGATATCATTGTTTCTCAGTGTAGAAATGGTGACCAATAGAAAACAGACCATGTAAATGAAAATACCACTGATTATACATTATCCAGCCTCTTCTACTTTTTTTTTTTTTTTACTTAAAAGGTACCTTATTGTTTTATTTTCCAGAAAGGAAAGATAAAAAAATAACTATTTTACAATTTGGTATGAGTCTTGGTGTCAACAACTTTGGAATTCAGTAAAACAATTTGAGGTTAAAGTAAAAAGCATGATTACTAAAGAGCACCTTGAATCTGTTGCTGAACACCCTCATATTGGTGACTAAGTTTCATCTTTTCCCTGACCATGAACATGAATTTAATGAATGAAACACGATAGAAAAATTAAATAAATGATAGTTATTAGCTATTATGAAAAATGTATTCCAAATGGCAAGCTCAAGGATGTGATATCACTTAACACAATTCAGCCTCATCATTTTGACTCATAGACATTAAAAGAGTAAACGAAAGACTAGATAAACTCACAGATGTTAAACACTAAAGACTTTAGTGAGCCATTAAAATGATTGGAGCCATTTTCTCAAAGCTTCTTGCGTTTCCAACTTCTTTCCCACTCTGAGAAATGTACCAGGAGTTTTTCATCTTTTTAGAGCAGGAAAATACTTCTGAAGATCTTTGCTATTCTAACTGTTTACAAATATGGCCAGCTTTCTCAATGAAACAGTATTAAATAGCCTAGTACGTATCTGAAACTGATATTCCTTTTGCAAATATTTAGCTGCTTAGTTTTTATGTAGAGTTTGGCAATCCAAGAAAGAAAAGTAGACCGAACTCCTCTAATGGATCAAGTAGAAGAGAGATGCAAAATTTTCTTTTTCAACATCAGAACTTTATTTAGAAATGGAGAACAGTCTAACGTAATTGTAGTTGGTCAAATCCATTTTGGATACTGAAAACATAAAGTGAATAAAATAAAACTAGTAACTTGCATTCTGAGATAATTTTATTGCTTTTTCAAGAAAAATATATTCTTAAAAGTGATGAATAAGACTAACAACTATACATTAAATACCCCTATTTTCTATTGTAGTTCTCATCCAAATTTAATATATTCTAAAAATTATTTGAAATTTAACTGACTAGTTCTTTTTCTTAAAGAAGAATAAGGCCAGTGATGTGCTTATATGAGAAACACGTTTATGAATTAATGATTGAGATAATAACCCTAATTTATTTCTTTGAATATTCTAGACTTTGGGCTCTCCAAAGTATAATATAGCTATTATTAGACACAAAAAGAACAAAATTAAAAACTGTATCCTTAAAGGACAGTTAAAATTTGCCAGGCAGTATATGAGCAAATAATCTCATGACTGTTCAGTCAGCTTACTGTTTCTCAGATGGACATATTGTCTGTTTCACACAAACACTCCCACCCAGTCACACAAATGACTATTGATAGAATACAGACTTTAATAATAGAATTTGTTTGTAAGCAGCAAATAACTTCCCTTTGGCCTTCAAAGTCATGCTTATAATTATTTTTTGTTTGTAATCTTCTACATCTCAAATCTTATGAGATTGTCTAATTTATTCCTTGCATAGTAATTTTGTGTGTCCTAATGCAAATTTCCTTTTTTAAAATTAGAAATATTAATTTGAATAGAAACCACAATATTATATAAAACAAACAAGCCAAAATTGGGATCACGTGTTTTTCCACTGCTTTGTTCAAACCATCATTTTATTGCATTCCAGAAAGAACAATCTAGATAAAAATTTGACAATATATGTTGAAAAATATTAAGTAAATTTCTATCTTTATTTTTCTACCACCTCTTTTCCTTTCATTCTCCTCATTTCTATGGGCCTTTATTTTTAGTACATGTTATCTAGCCAGTTAGAAAAGTGTTTGGGTAAACACCTTTGTGTTTGGTTTCACATTAAGTCATCAGTGTATGTTTGTTATACTCCCCAGTAGACTACTTAAAAAGGAGCACAAAAATGGATTCACTAGTCTATACAATGATCAAATAAAAATCTCTGTATTAGTTAAACCAAAAAACCAAAAGCTCATTCAAACCAAATTACAGAGTTCTTTATACTTAGTCTGTGGGGTGAATTCCCTTAGATATTTTATTTTGTATTTTATTCTCCCCCACAGAGAGTTATTTGAGGAGAGACAATTAACTAAAATGTACTTCTAACTCAAATCTCTTTGGACTACATTAAATGGTATAGACGTGTGTGTGTGTGTGTGTGTGTGTGTGTGTGTTTATAGAAATATTTACGATTTAGACATTCTGAGCAAAAAGACACCTATCAACTTATCCAAGAGTTCTTAATTTAGATTATTTTCTAATATCATCATCAGGCATATTTAAGTGGAATAAATTATCTTTCACATTGAGTCTACCATGGGAATTTTTAATGATGCTCTCTGCTGGCTTCAGTAAATATGTATGACTTCATATCTCCTGGGACAACTTCATTTTTACATTTTCATTCAGTTGTGTCAGAGTTTTGTGTGCTTTGAGACCAAGAAAATTTCATTTTGGAAGTTGTCATTATGGGGATATCATAGCACTTTGATGAGATTTTCTTATTCAGGTATAAAATAGTAGTTGGAAATAAACATACAAATAAGTATGATATTTTTATTTATGTTTAAAATAGCAACAGTGATATCACTTGTGGGTTTTTTTTTTTGGTAGTTTATGGTTAGCAAGTTTAACTGTTTAAACCTGTTTTATTTTAAATTTAAACGTATTTCATTTTAATTTTAAACATGTTTCTAAGATATAGCTTTCTTGACTGATAAAGAATGAACCATTGGATATAGTTCATAATATCTATGTATTAGGATGTCACAGCAGACCAAAAAAGATAGTACATACTGTCACATTCAGGATCATAGATATTCTAAAACTGTTGCATAAAGATGAGCCCTTTTGTGTTACCTTGCAAGGTTGCTATAGTTACAGAATGTGGCTTTATGGCAATTTCACTTTGCTTAGTAATATTAGATACTGAAACGAAAGTCTCATTTTATATTCTTAAGTCTCTTATTTGAAAATAACTTCATTTGTAAGATATTCTGCATTATTTTCACAATCTTTCTTTTTCTTCCACAAGTTATTTGCAAAGAACAAAAATTTGAGCATATGTTTTGCTTCCAGACACTGAACATAGGACAGAATTTTCGCTCCCTCCCCCTTCAATTGCTACTTTTGCGTTTATAGAAAAAAAAGTTTGTATTTTATTTTTTTTTTAAAAAACAGTATGTTCTCAGCTGGTAAACTCCATTAAACAATACTGTTAAAACCTATGGGTTTCTATGTTACTGCAACTTAGTTTAAAGCAGAGTTGTATGTACCTGTGAGCAGTGAGTTTCAAACTATCATAGAGTTTCAAGTTTCCATAGAGTTTCAAGTGTAGATATTACTACACTTTCATGGAAAGATAATGTGCTCTCGGAAAACATGGTTCATATTTATCTCCTACGAAGCTACAATGCTGGATACTGGGGCCGCAAAACATGAATACATGATCTCTAGTAAGATATTTAGTCTAATTTCCACTCTTCATATAGATCTTCAAAACTAAATAATTTATTTTTTAGTAGAAGTTGGAGTTGCTTTGCTCACAAACAAACATTTTGAATCACAGAAATGCATTATTTGAAAGCTCATTTCTCAAGTTCATTTTAAGTATTCATTTAGGTACTGTTAATATGTGTAGGCATAAGAAAATTTGAATTGCTAAAAAACTAAATTGACAAGATAAGTAGAATACAATTAATACAGCTTTGATTGATACATTGTTGAGAAAATAACATTTACCAAACAATATGTCCATTTATATCTAATGATAAGATAGGAGTCTCAGTGATTTTTCTTAGTGTTTTTCCTGTAAATTTTTAAAAAATCTTTTTGACTTCTAATTTCTTGTCTGCTGCAGAAACTAGTTCAAAAGGTAAGCTGCTTTCGTCAAAAGTTTTGAAGTAACATTTTTTTGTGCTTTATATTTACCTTCTTAACTTTTTATCGAAGCATACTAAGAATACAGATAAATGAATTTTCACAAACTCAGTGCACACATGTGTTTAGCAAAAAGCAGAATATTTCTAGCTCCCAGAAGCATGCCATCCTGGTGCTCCCTTCCTGGCTGTTACACACTGCACCCCTGAAAGTAATCAACATTCTGACTTTAACTAAGTAGATTAGTTTGCCTGATTCTGTATTTTGTAAAAATGGAATCATCACAGTTTGTAGGCTTCTGTGTCAGGAGACTTGAATATTATGTTTCTAAATTGTCATTGTCATTGCCATTGTGGTATAGTATTCTATTGTTTACCTAAATCACAATTTATTTATTCTGCTACTAACAGTGAGTAATCATACTTGTAAATACAAAATATGTTTATATGTTTTTACACATAATATACTTTATGTAAGTCCTATAGTGTCCCAAGAAACAAGTTTTGGAGGCAAAATGTATCCTTGAATTAACAATTTCTACACTTGATTCTGTGTAGTATTAGTGTTGCTGAGCAATTCAAATTTTACATTATTTTAATGTTATCCAATAACATTCACAGATATTTTCCAGTGTTTGAATATTTGCTGTAGGGTACAGTTGTGTACAAATACTTAAAATGCAAAAAAAAAAAAAGATGTAAATGTTGAATGTTGTGAACTACTTTGAAATGAAATCTGAAAATGATTAAAAACTTCAATTAACAAAAGCAATGTCAATTTCAGTAGCAAAACCAAACTCTGGATAAACCTAGAAACTATTATGTTCAAAGAGAAAATTAGCTTATATGGATCAGTATATACACCTTAATGCCTAACATGAAGACCATTTCGGATTTACTCTTAATTATTCAACTAATGTCAATGCAAAAATGAAAAGAAAATTGCAAATAGAATATTCGTCACAAAACAAAGGTCAAGACTTTCAGAGAGAGCAGTTAGTTTATCTGCTTCAAAATTTCATTTTAAGAATAATAGCATTTAAATATTAAATAGCTGTGGTGTTATATTACAATTTAAAAAATAATTTTATGGACATTTATTTTGTGTTAACATTCGCTACTATGACAGTTGTCTGTTACCAAATATGTATGTCAGGTAAGCATATTTTGATGTTATAAAAATATATATGTTTTCTTTTCACAATATGTTTTAATAATAAAAACTGTATATCTTTTTTATAGAAAAGCCTCTGACACTTTTGTATGTATAAGTCTGTTACAGAAAAATGATACACAATTTATGATTATGGTCACTCATTGTTATCTTAAAACAAAATATTATTAAAGGTACATAATAATTTATGGTTGAAGGAATTTCTAAGAAATGCTATGAATTTCAATTTCTTGTTTCCAGATCCCCAAAATTATTATTTCTCAGGAATTGAGAACACTACTGATGGTGACAATAAAAATACTGTGGGCACCTGTGGGTTCGTCTTTAACTTGGCGCTCAATTTTTATCTGAGATCAGGTGCTTATAAAACTTTTTATGGTTTGCTGGTTCTGTCTGGGTAACATGGGGAGAAAACTGCACTGAAGCCTGATAAACATGGTTTAAACTCTAGCTCAGCCGTACACCAGCTATGTCACCTGGGCTGTTACACAAATTCTTTGAAACTTATTTTCTTTAAATAAAATACTGAAAGCAATATTTTAAACGAGAGATAATGCATGGAAAATACCTGAAAAATAGTAGGAATTTCATAAATGAAGTTATTATATACTTTTTGAATTAAACCAGAGGAAATGTTGGAAAAACAAATGTAACGATGGTTTTAAATGTGGTTTGTCCATGTGTGATGTTAGTGATAAAATACCACCACATTTTATTTAAAGTATATGTGTAACTGAAAATCTACTTAAATGTTAGGAGGTTGATTTTGAAATGTTAGGCAATGTAACCTAATTCAGTCTTTAGAAATTCATAAATTCTACTTTAACTTTTTAAGTCATTTTTCATGAAAACAGTGTTTTGTTTTGACAATATATCCTTTTAGTGGTTGTTTTATTGAAAAGTAGTTATTTGCAAAGAACAAAAATTTGAGCATATGTTTTGCTTCCAGACACTGAACATAGGACAGAATTTTCGCTCCCTCCCCCTTCAATTGCTATTTTTGCGTTTATAGAAAAAAAAGTTTGTATTATATTTTTTTAAAAAAACAGTATGTTCTCAGCTGGCAAACTCCATTAACTCCTGGGACAGGAGTAGTAAATTCAGGAATTTACTACAGCATTTGAATAATAATTTTATATTAAAAGGCATTACCCTCTAATGTAAATTTCATGTATTCTTAATTATATACAATTTCAGAGACATTATTATTTGGTTAACATTTAAATCTATTGATAAGCACATAGATTTAAACCTCCTCACTCAAATCAGGGTCCAGCCCCTGATTCCACTCTTCCAGCCTTGTTTGATCTTGTCTAGACCTCACTTTCCATAATTCAGAAGTCCTTGTGGGTAGGAAAGAAAACCCTGTGTGTCCTTTCTTATAGAATTAGTCATTAGTAATTTTTGCAAGTGCCATTTTTATCAACAGCATGACAACAAAGCTTCTTAATGTTTAATTAGTTATACTGCATAGTAAAAGTAGAAATTGTCAACCAAAATCATGTACTAAATCACAGAAAATTTATAGCCGAATAACATTGACCATGCCAGAAACAGGATTCAATGCTATTTTTCATGTCTTTAGGAAAGCTGGAACAAGGGAGAAATGTGTATATATTGCAACAAAGTACATTAGCATCAAATACCCTTTGCTTTCTAAGGACAGAAGGGGAATAGATTGCTAAAGAAAACAGGAAGATGAAGCTTACAGGAAATATTTAAGATGAGATCACATATCAGTCTGATATTTTAACGTATTATGCTTTTAAGCAGAGAGGAGGACTCTTACATTGCACATCTTTTAGGAAAATATTTTCTGTTTGCTTTGTCTCAGAGAAGTCTGGGTAAGTTCATCTGAATAAAGTTTTAAAGTTGCTTTAATAAATTCATATGGTTGATAATGTGATGCTACTTAATAATCTAAAATTAGCTGCCAAATCTGGTCTATATCTCTTGACTTCTCTGTGTCCTGACACCGTTGAGACACCTTGACTCTACTCATGTCTTCTCTAGTCATAATTGTTCCCCAGGGCTTATTACAAGCATTGCTTAAAGCTTGTTACCTGAGGCAGGGAACCTTTGGATGGTTCCATTTGGTACAGCCCCATACTGATGTTTGTTGTGAATTATCCTCTTGCTTTAGTGATTTGCAGCATTATTTTCAGTGTATTTCTATAGACCTGGGTTCCATAATTGGTGTTCACAGTCAAACTCCATTTATTTATGTCTAGGAAGGAAATTCTGTTATTCTGAAAGCAAGACAAAACACAAAATGCCTGATTCTTCTGTTAACCTCGTGCAAATTGTTGGCCATTTGGAGTAAACATTCATTTAGAATATGAAGAACCTCAGAAACCATAATGACAATTAAATGATGTCATGTCTTTTAAAAATGACTGATTACTCCTAAAACAAAGATGAGTGAGTATCATAGGCATTGTTCTATCTGTGGGAGACACAGTGGTTAATAGAGCTTATATGCTAATGCTTATAAATTGTGAAGATTGACATGTAATATGTGATCACATATGACTATTCTACAAAATACCTTTATTTTCTGAGGTTTAATTAACTTGACAAGCAAGAAATGTAACATTGTCTTGGCCTTTCAGAATACATATACTCCTTATTTCAGTTGGTTAGAAAAGAAATCAAAAGAGATAACCTGATACTGGGTGAGTGGAGCTACATTTCTTGGGTGCCAACATATAAAGTTTTAAATACTTTTACAAAGCATTCTAATTCTGATCTTTTTTTCTCTTGGGGATAACTTCACAGGGAAAAAACCCAGCTTCTTTGCTTATTGGATATTATGTATCTTCAAAGCAAATGTTTCTGCAGTTCCCATATCTGACTGCAGAAATGCAGCAGAGAACCATTTGTCTGTGTCATTGTCCTGCACATCCCTGGAATTCATTTCTACTGCTAGTATAGAGTACTGGGAAAAGAGGCATCTTTAATTCAGTGCTGAAAAATGTATACTTATTTCTTCCATAGCTCAGTTTGTGTGGAGTACTGGGTGGCAGGACTCGGAGCCTGCCGCAAATACGTCTCAACCATGGGCATGCCTCAGCACCTCCTTTTAATGCTACTTTCTGTAGCATTACGACCATAACACAACATGACAAGATTCTTTTCCTATAGCCGGTACTTGGATCCACAGTTACCTATAGGCATATTCAGGCACTTCAGAATAGCAAGAAAAACAGAGGTGGAAAGAGAGAATTCTAATTATTTATTCATCTGTTCACAGACTAGACCACAGGCGAAACTGAGAAAGAGGAACTTGGCAAATAGGTACCACCTGCTGCCCCCACCACCCCAACTCCTATCCTCCCCTATTCTTTTCCTTTAGATCTTAATGTGCTACCTATTACATCATCATATCTGCTCACAGATTATTAAATGAAGGGATTTGACTTTTTAACACATACATTTAAAGCATGATGGAAGAAAAATTAAAACATTTATTTGGGAGAAAATTTTATTTATTCATAACTCCTGAAATGATACTCTCTTGACTAATGTCTAGCAATATACACTAATTTAAGAGAGAAAAAATAATTAGAAATAACTGCAAATAAGCAATCTATATGAGTATTTATAGATTGCTTGATTTTTAAGAAAGTGGCTCATGTAGGGCCTGGCAAGTCAGAAATGTGTTGGGCAAATGGCAGGCTGGAGATTCAGGTAAGGGTTAGTTGCAGTCTTTACTTAGAAAGCTGGAAACTCGGGCAGAATTTCTATATTGCAGTCTAGAAGCAGAATCCCTCCTTTCTGAGAAACCTGTCTTCGGTCTCAAGGTTTTCAACTGATTGGATAACGTACAGCCACACTATGTAGGGTCATCTGCTCTACTTAAAGTCAACTGATTTAGATGCCAGTTACATCTACAGGGTACCTTTACAACATCTAGACCAGTGTTTGACCAAACAACTGGTCATCATAGCCAAGTTGGCACATAAAACAAAAATTACCCATCATGGTGCTCTAAAAAACAAAAAACAAATCTTTACTACTCCCACCTTTTGTTAAAATGTTGTATTAATAGTACTGTTAAAGTGCTTGTTTGTACATGAGAATCTTTGGGGAAGCAAAAACCTACCTTGTAGAGAATCCCTGGGGAAGGAAAAACTCTACCAGGCAGAGGTGATTCTGAAGAGTTTTATTTTTAAATTATAAGCTTTTTCCCCAAATACATCTGATGAAAGGTTCTGTGGAACAATCTCGTCAGCCATGCTATTTATTGTATTCTGTGGTTGGCATAAGGGAAACATACAAAGGAATGAGCAATTTCTTCTTCATCATCCTTAATTGAATCCTTATAGCTCAGTCACTTTTAAAGAGGTGGTAGTCTTTCTGATGTCCAGGGTTCTAGAATTACAGAGTTTATAAAAAGCCAGTACAGGATGCCCACATGGGTTTCTGGTTTCTTTTGAGGAAAAAACAAAAACAAAATAGAAACTGGAGGCGACTTCAGATGTTGTAGAGCTGTAGGGTGTAGGTGGAGGAGGAGGGCCTTCTGGTGTCAGGCTCAGCAATTGATCAAAAGAACTGCCTGACAAAATACCAAAGCCAGTAAACCTTCCAAAACTTCTAAAGCTACTTCACAGGGCCTTCTACTCACAGGGAAAATTTAAAATGGCACTCAGCCTCAGGAGGGTTCCTGCAGGTTCCTGGAACTGAAGAAAACTGTGAAGCAAGTAAAAGTGGGCTCTGGTAATGTAGAATTTAGAATGCATTAGTTTTTCCTCTTTTAAATTCTTATTTTCAGTAACTTTATAATTCTCCTCGTTTTCAGGCACTTATTGAACTGTTTTGCCCAGATTTCTTTAAAAGCAGTATGTGTTCCTTCTCACAGCCACTTGCCTCCTACCTTAAAAAGCAGAATCCAGAGGAGCAAGCAGGCAAACCTGGAAAACAGAACTTGCAGTCCCTTTGGAATCTAACATTAGAGGTGGATGAGTGGCAGGTGGTTGGATGTGAAATCTTGGAAGTAAAATATGTTGATCACAATCAGTTAACATTTATGGAATGCCTATATGGCTCCATCTCAGAAGAGTTGATGCCAAGGAAAAGAATTCTCTAACGTTTTTGTGTTTTTGTACTCTTCCCACAGAGCATGGCTTTGCTAAGCTCCTCTGGCTCCTTGCTAACCCTGCAACAAGTTACACTCATGGTTTTATGAGTAGAATATTATTGTGAAGCAGTTCACCAGTATGTATTAACTAACTCTTCACATGCATATTACCATTCAAATACTATTAATGTAGTATAGTCAAGTGATTATATTGCTTGTTTTCAAGAAACCTTCAGATTTAGCAGGAGGCAAAATATGAATTTGGAAAACAACAAAAGAACAATTAAAGTATATAACTTAGTGTTCAATTGTAAATGACTAAAGCATAAAGAACTCAAAGAAAGAAGGAATCACTTTAATGCAGTGATTCAGAAAAGATGTGATTGGACTTGATCTGGGAGTGGAAAAAGTTCAGTGTTTGAGCAGGCAGAGAAAAAGTCTCAGCTGCTAAAGTAGAATTTTCTAGTCCCTGCAACTAATCTCCTTACCATCTTTTCTACCTTAGAATTAACTAGCCTGTGAAGCACTGAGACTAGAACGGAAAAGTAGTTTGTGATGTTCTCTATCTTTGTTTAACTTTTTAAGAATAATCAATAGAAAAAATAAACTGCAAACTGTGTGTAGATATGTATGTGTGTATGTGTGTATATATATGTGTGTGTGTGTATATGTGTGTGTCTATGTGTGTGTTGGGGATGTGTGTGTATTGAGTGGGAGATTACATCAAGCACATCATTAACATTGAACTAGGACACCATCCTTTAGATGAGTTAGTAAAGTTTTAACAGGAAGAAAGAGACAGTAAAACATTAAAATGAAGTTTAAATAGTTCAATAAAAATTAAGTGTAACAATTACCAATGTGGATATGTGGAGGAAGAAAATAAGAAGTAACTGAACTCTGTTAAAAATATTATAAGATTTTAACAGAAGCAAACAGATTTCCTTTGGCCAATAAAAGAATCAGATTATTTTTTGTTTTAAATTTGTCTCCCATATGTACCCCCTAAGTCATTCATAATACCAATATTTTGGGGTAGATGGGAATAATTATCTTCTTACAAGAACATAAAGAAGTAATGTGTCTCTTCTACCATGTTACTGCTTAAAAATAAAGAGCCGAACGGTAGGCAAATGTGGAGATTGTTGGCAATTTTGGAATGTATATTAGTTACTGTGATAAACTGGCATATTTGATCTCATTAGAATTACAGATTCTTACCATAATGAGATGTGAAAAGAAGACGTTGAAAGAATGGAGAACTCATGAGCAAATACTGATATTGTATTATGCATTATAATATACATGTAATCCAAAGAGAACCAGAAAGGTGAATGTCCTTATTTTACATCAGGCCCTGGGCTTGACTCACCTTCGCTTTCCTAGTGTGTAGTACAGTGGGAAATATATAGTAAATATTAAAAAAGAATTTGTTGGACTTAATTACATTTTAGTTGTAAATAATTGTGTTTTTAAATATTTCAATAGTCCCCAGCATCAGACCACAGTATTTTTTGTGACTTCCTAAGTGGAATTTTTCATCATGATAATGGTGTCACAGAGTTTTGGAAATGTTCTAAGAAACCAAACAAAAAAGAATCCCTTGCCATATTTTCAGTTAGGTAGAAAAAAAAAATCTTAGTTTCTCCTCTAGGATGGGTTTTATATTCATCAAGAGGAAGATGTACTTCTGAGTTTCAACAGTTTGAATTTTGAGATCTTTACTTGGGATCATGCCTGCCCGTCTTAATAGTTACAATCCAGGAGGGGCTGGAAAAAGAGTAGTTAGCCTTGCTAGGTGTGTTCCACTCCTGCACCCAGCATGACAGAATCCCTGTCAGGAGTGAGGCTTATGTGAGTCAGTCTAATAAACAACATGGAATTACAGGGTCTCTTCCACTTTCAAAGCTGTCTGCTTAGAACTTGAGTCCTCTGGTTGTAGTATCTATTGCTGCATTCTGTAGGGTGAGGGAATGTACTGTCTTTTTAAATTTGGGCTGACAGTGCAATGTGCTATAAGCCTGAGATGAGATCAGAATTGATTGAGCTAGAAAATTAACTGGGGTGTTATTTGCTTCTGCCACCCATTAGCTTAGTTTGACCATCTGCCAACACAAAATCATAATTCCTGGGGCTTTTATGCCTGGATATCAAGCTGTTGGTTCTGTTGGTCTCTGCTTACCTCTAAGAAAATCCCATGGGGAGAATGTAATTGGGAAAAGAAATAAAATCTCAATTGAGGAGCTTAGCTTTTAAGGCCTATTGTAATTGGTTAGGCATGAGGTAGAAATCTTATCTTGTTTCCCAAGAGCAAGCTTGAAAACCATAAAAAGAAAAGCATTGGAGAAAAATGGCTGGATTTTAGGATAAAGATTTGAATATATAGTAATAAGAATAGTAATAATAATAATAATTGCTAAAATATATTGAGGAACTAATATATGTTACTCATCTTTCATCTTTAGATGGATTGTCTCATGGTTGGAGAGTGTACATTAGTAGAATCTTAGTATCTCCATATTTGGTATACTAGGTTTTATTTGTTTTTATTTATATTTAAGATATACAACATGGTGTTTTGATATACTTACATGCAGTGAAGAAGTTATATGGTCAACATCTTAGTTTTGATTCAAATTGTAATATAGTGATGTCAAAAAAATGTACCCCTCTTAAGAAAATTAAGTTGTAAATATGTTCTCTCAAAACAACAAAAGAAACAAACTGAAAGTTTGTCCTGGGGGAGAGTCTGATACTACTAGAGAATTTTCTCTTTAAAACAAAGTAGAACACAACAAAAACAACTCCTGGGAGCAGAATGCTCTAGTATAAAATATTTTATATTCACTAACATATAACACCACTTTTGTGTATGGACAACTGATGGGGCTTTTTTACATACTTTGTAATTGTGGTTCTACCAGTTTTAGCATCTAAATCTACCCATTTAATAATTTTATTATAGTAATGCTTATTCGTAAGATACATTTGACAGGAATTCCCATTTCTCAACGTAGTATATAAAAATATGAAGGACTGTCAGCCTACTTAATGGACCAAAGAAAAGCAAAATGGTAGCAATGAGTATTAATGGTAGGCCTGGGAGGGCCCCACAGGAAATGAAATGAGATTCAACTTTTTTCTGTTAATTGTGTTAAAGATTATTTTTCTTTGACTAAGAATTCTCCTGTTGGAAGTAAAAGTAAGACCATCTCTTGCTAGAAAAAAATGAAATAAAAAGTTTTATTACTTTTATTACTACTATTTCATTTGGAGATGAAAATACACTTTTTAGGATAAAAGCATACCACATTTATCAAAAATTATTCTCAAAACGTGATGCTAACAGTAAAACGATTTCAAAGTTAATTTAGAAGAAAAGAATCCTGAAGTCTCCCCTTTCTCCTTGTGTGACCAGTACCCCTATTGGTGCCTCAGGTTTTTCATCTATAAAAAAAAGAGATGGAAAAATGCCCATTTTAAAACAGTGTGGTTGTCAGGATTAAATCTAAAGTGTATCAAGTACCTGACAAAGAATTGATAGTATGATATATGTATGTGTTGATATTCAGTTTACACTATCTGAGATAACGGTGCTAGGGAAATAATAACTGGAATTAACTATTCCTTGTAAGAAAAGTTGGATAAGTGAAAATCCTAAATCAAGATGGCATCTGAACTAAGACAAGAGAGTCATTCTTTGCAAAACACTTCATGGCTCAATAGGAAACAGACTTTGTTGATGACTTTGGTTTGATTTATTTTTAACTAATTTAACAAATAATTTTTAAGCATGTGCAGTGTGCCAAAATACTACGTTGTGTCCTAGAAAACCATATGAGGCAAATTGGTTGCCCTTGGGCAGCATTATTATAAATTGAATTAAGGTATTTAAAAACATTTGGGTCACAAACCAATGGGGTGGGCTGGAGTTAAGACTTAGTACCATAATTAATAGCAATTTATTTCATTCACTGGTTTCTGAGCAACTCCTTCCCTGGAGGCACTTGCCAGGTCAGCATTGTTTTTTGCAGAGCATCATAAATCTCCAATGACCAGCTCTTGGCCATAAATACAGAAAATATACTTGTGAGGTTATTTTCAATGTACAATATGGAATTTCTGAAATAATAATGATCTAACAGGTGCAGTCTGGGTGTTTTGAAAAATTACTCAATCTTTTGCAGTTTATCAAGCAATTTGTATATTCTGCCAAAAATATTCTAAAAAGTCAATTTTTTCAAGTTCTCTAAAGTGGAGCTCATGGTTAATTCAGAGCATAAACCACCCCGCCCAAAATGAAAAATAACTCAGAACCTAAGTACTCTGCTGCTCCAAAACTGCCAGAATTAACCAGACTGGAAATGAGCTCAATTATAATCAGCTTGGATGCTTAATCTTTTAAATTAATCCATAGAAATGCTATTATTATATTGATTCATTATAGAATGTTATAATCATGAAATTCTTTAGAAGTAACTATACAGTGCATTAGCAATTACCCCAAAGCACATGAATTCTATTCTGTAGCAGGAATTTTGGCTATCAAGATTTGTTTGTTTTGATATTACAGGGGTATTGCTTTTATTTAACAACCGTTTATATAGTGTTATTATATGCCAGTCACCATTCTTACGGCTTTATAAATGTTATCTCATTTGATCCTTATAACAGCCTCAAGGGCTAGATATTATGGTTACTTCATTATAAAGAAACTGAGGCACAGATAGGTTAATGTGCTCATGACCCAATAGCTACTGAATGGTGGAACTAGAATTCTAAGTCAGTAATTTGGTTCCAGTGTCTGTGATCTAACTTTTAGACATCATATGGGGGAGTGGGAAATTATATTTTCTTTTTTAGAGACAGGGTCTTGCTTTGCCACCTAGGTTGGAGTATAGTGGTACAATCATAGCTCACTGCAGCCTCTACTCCTGAACTCAAATGATCCTCCTGCTTCAATCTCAAGTTTTGATTGTTGACCGTGTAAATTCTTCACTACATGTAGCTAGGACTACAGGAATGCACCACCACACCCAGCTAATTAATTTTTATTTTATTTTTTATTCTTTTGTAGAGACAAGATCTTGTTTTGTTGCCCAGAGTGCTCTTAAACTTCTGGCCACAAGTGGTCCTCGCACCTTTGCCTCCCAAAGTGCTGGGATTACAAGAGTGAGCCACTGCATCAGGCCTGAGATTTTCAGGTGTAACAAACCAGTGAGAGTGATTATTTTATTTTATTTTATTTTTATTTTATTCTTATTTTCTTGAGCCCTGGCCTAAAGGAAAGACCTGACTATTTAGCATAAAATGGTAGCCCCGTCAACCTCTACTTTGTCTCCTATACCCAAACATTACTCTGCTATTCTACTGCGAGTTTTCTACCACCTCCAAGGTATGCCTTAGACCCTAAATACCCAATATCACTACTCGCTCCCCATTCAACATCCCCATCACCTAGCTCCTGCAAGTACTCCACACTCCTCAACCCTCAGCTCAACAACGTATATCTGCACTCCACCAGACTGATGGATGGGCCCTTGTGTAGGCATGGGTTATACTGTGTACAATCACCATTATTACACATTACATTTTAGTTCATCTTTTGGTCTCACATCTCTCTCTCCCACAAAATCGTAAGTTCCGTGAAGATAGTGGCTGTGAAATGACTCACATTATATATAAAGAAGAAATATGAAAAATATATAAAAGAGTAACTAACTTATGTCACATGCATACACACACATAAAGGGGAAAAAGAATGGAGGGCGAAATATGTGAAAGAGTTAAAGGTAGTTGTCTCTGAGTAGTAGGGTTTGTTATGAGAATTTTTTTTCTTACACTTTCTCTAAATATTTCAAATTCTCTACAGGGAAAATGAAGTAGTTTTATTACATTAAAATACATAAGCATATCCTAGACCTGTTAGAAATGAAAATGGAGTTCTTCACTGAACAGGAACATTATATACCAAGGGCTTTAAAATACTCTAAATTTTAATATGTGGAATGTAGTGAGTGTTTAATATATTTAGACCAATGGATGAATGAGGAAATTGAATGTGACATCTCTGCTTAAACTAAGTGAATTTTTCTAAACTTAGAAATCCTTCTATACCATTCATCTTGAAAATTTTGAAGCTCCTTAATATGCTTTTAGTGACCCCTCGGCATGTTTTGAGTTTCTCCTTTCTCCCAACACTCTCCACCAAAAAAGGGTCAATTTAAATACATTTGAAATTAGAAACAATATAGCAGCAGAGATGTCCTTAAACATATCTAGATCTAACAATGTGGCCTGTGCCTGTATATTTCTCTTAAATTGAATGAATAATTATCTCATTTACTTAGCATAATTTATTGTACACATTTATAAAGTCCTGCTTGAAGGGAGATCATAATATTTTAGAACTTTCTACGTTTGTTCACCTTATAAGCCCATGTTAGATCCTGCTTATCTGAATAAATTGAAAGAAAGCCATATTAAAAATGATAAATCATATAATTGTCAGCTAATTAGTGGAGAATATAGGGCTTTTTAGAAAAAACATTTAGCTTTGTAAAATGTCATACAGGAATAGGACATTTTAAATAATAAATTGATAAATTATAAAGATAATAGAGAATAGGAGAGCATTCTTGCTTAGGATTGCAGTAAAGATAAACTGAAAATAAACTGAGCAAAAACTTCAGATAAATTCCGTAGATCTCTATTTTTTATTGTTTCGGAACAATTCAAAATGCTAGATCTGATTAATAGACTTTTCTGATTAACAAAGATTTATCCTATATGCTACTGATAAATGAAACTTTCAAATAATTTTAATTTTTCAATAAAATGTGATTAACACTTTTACAATGCACATATGTTCAGAATGTACTTTAAAATCCCACAGCACCTCAAAAACTATTGTTAACTTATTCAATGAAATATATTGAGATTTTATTTATAGCAGAGTAGTAACTTCTGAGGATGTTGTGCAGAAGTCCAAGACATAGGTCCTAACCACAGAGAGCTTGAGATATTGATGATAAATTGTATATGCTAAATAGAGATTGCATATGGTCTTTTGCAAACGACATCCTGCAAAAGGGATGTGATGAGTGAAAAATTGAAAGGGTGGTGAGGAGCTTCTTTTTGGAAGTCCAGGAAAGGGGAAAATGTTTCCAAGAATCCAGGCAACATTTAGATCATTGGAGGCAAAGGAAGAAGATAATAGGGCAACACATGGGTTACAAGCTCAAAAGTGTGGTGATAGGAAAGTAATTTCTGGAGACAGAGTCAAGAAAAACTTAAACTGGAAGATTTATGCAAAAGAATAGTAAGTTGCAAATGCAGAGCTGTAATTAGGACTACATAGGAAGCCATTGAGAATGTCTGGGTACAAAATAAGACCTGACTGCCATGTGTGTTGGTGCATGCCTTTAGTCCCAGCTACTCAGAAGGCTGAGGCGGGGGGATCCCTTGAGCTTAGGAGTTAGAGACCAGCCTGGACAACATAACGAGCACCCACCTCTTAAAAGAAGACTCAATGATTGACTAAATTTTACTCAATGTGGGAACTATGGTAGAAATTTAAGCTTGGGTAAGTGAAGTTTAAAAGATTAAACCTATGGTTATTTGGTTTTATAATAAATGAATAATAATTATACTAGGAAATTTGATAATTTAGGAATTTGGAGAGTAATGTATTTTTATATTATTTGTCTCCAAATTTCACATATTTGATATGCCAACACAGATTTCTCTGAGTAGAAAATGTTATTTACCTATTGGCAAAATTATGATAATTCTGGAGAATCCAATTACAATATTATTATTGAGTACCTAGAATGTAGAAATGACAGTTTCTAATAAGTTATTTTAAAAGCCAAAAAGCATTTAAGTGTCTTATTAACTTTTGCATTCCCCAAACTTGTCATGGTATTTAGCCCTGAGCAGATGCTCAGCAACTGTTTATTCAATAAATGAATGATGTATTTAATTAGTTGAGTCTTTCAACTTTAATGCCTTAAATTGTCAATTAACTAGAAATTTCAAATCAACTCACTTATGTTGAGTTAATAACAGGGCTAAGAATGTGTTGGGTTTTGGTGGACACAAGGATGTAATGTGTTGTACTTGGCTTAATGTAATTCAAAATCTAGTGACATAACTACCTTTTAATTAGACAAATTAAATAATTAAAGTTAATTTTCATTAATATAGAACCTCTAGGCTGTGTGTCATCAGTAGCTCTATATGTAATTACCTTACTAATTAAACCTCTAAAACTGGTCACAGCTTCATATCAATGTTCTTTAAAATTTGATTTAACTTGTATCTTCAGCTTGATTCTTCTATGTGGTTTTTTCCATTCTCTCTCCTCAGAGTGATTAAAACTTTAATAGTCATCTTTTTTTTTTATTTTTTTGACTTACTTTTAAGTCAGGATACCTTAACTGTGTCATTTTCTTCCAAATTGTTTCTAAGGAAAAATTTTGAGAATTACAGTAGTAGCAGCAATAGTAATAATAATTCTGTCATCGTGAAGGTATTGCTTGTTAATTTCTCATTATTTTATTACATAAATAGTAATTTCAGCCTTTTAACTTTGAATAAGAGAATTCCAATGAATTGGTTTGTTTTTCCAGAAGAAAGGACCAATGCCATCTAAATTATTTCAGACTGTTATTAATTGCTTCATTATTGAACTTAAAGAATTATTTCCTTATAAAAAGAGATCACATGTCAGCAAGAAAACAATATTATCACATGAATTTAAAAAAGGGAGAAAACACAATGGCATTGTGTCTGAAGGCCTAAAGAGGATTGGACTATGAACATGAAGGCATTTCTATACTGAAGAATATCAGCTTTTGTTATTTATTTGTATTACATTGTTTTGCCTTAAAATTAGTTTAAAATCTCCAAGTTGGCATTTAGGAACTAATTTTTCAAGATGATAAGCTTTTATATTTCTTAATTATGTTTCTTTTCTGACTATACATTGAATGTTAAGGTAATCCTACAATTTATACTTTGAATTTAAGTGTATACAGAGAGATGGGGAAAGAGGTAAACCAATGTTTCCTCAAATGACCATTAGGAGAAGAGAACTATTGCCAACATGGAAATAAAATGCTGTCAATGAGTCTCTCTGAAATTTTGATCTCAATTTTTAATATCAAGTTTAAAAGACCACAAATATCAATTGTCTACAATAATTTTAATTCTTTAACAATAAATTATGATAATATGCTTATGTATAGAACTTGTTTCTGTAACTCTGTTTCTGTAATTCTTTTGAAGTTAATTTTTTTTATTTGTATCAATTTAAGGAACACAAGTGCAGTTTTGGTACAGGGATATATTGCATAGTGGTGGAGTCTGGGCTTTTAGTATAACCATCACCTGAATAATGTACACTGTACCCATTTAAGTAAGTTCTCATTGTTCACCCCCTCCCGCCCTCCCTCCATCCCACCCTTCCCAGTCACCAGTGTCTATTATTCCACAATTTATGTCCATGTATACACATTATTTACCTTTCGCTTATAGGTGAGAACATGAAGTATTTGACTTTCTGTTTCTGAATTGTTTCACATAAAGACTTCCAGTTCCAACCATGTTCCTGCAAAATATATGATTTCATTCTTTTTATGGCTGCATAGTATTCCTGTGTGTGTGTATGCATATATATATATATATATATATATATATATATATATATATATATATAATATTTTGTTTATCCATTCATCCAGTGATGGACACATAGGTTGATTAACTGTATTTCTTTTTAGGCCTGAACAATAACTGTAAATTTTCTGCGGTTTGGGGAAAATGCAATTAAGTTACCTTATTAAAAGAAATAGTAATGAATCCACTTAATTATATTTCTTCTACAGTTCAGGTCATTATAAAGTATAAACTCTAGTAAAGGAATTTCTCTTCAAAAAGTGCATCTTGTTCTACAGTGAAAAAAATTTTTTCCTGGAGATTTAGGATATGAATGTATCCCCTGTGAAATTAATTGCTGTCAAAAATACTTCAGAAAATTACTCTTTTTAACTTTACCCATTCTTTTGAATGTTGCCCAAGAGTAGTAACTCCCATGTCTGTTGGAATGGTTAGTTAGATTTAAAAATGTAGCCAAAGTGCTTTTTAAAATACCCTGGAGACATTAGACTTGTAAAATTCACAGGTTCTGCCATACTTACATATTAGCTTTACATTGCAATTACCTGATAGATAATTGTCATTAAAGTAATCATGTAAAGGCATATCTCTCCAATGGAGCAGGAAAAAAAAAAGGTTTTAAAGTCATTCTGGTCGATTGAACTTGGAGGCTTGAGAATATTTTTAAGAAAATCTAACTAAATAAATGTGCACCCTGGAGAGCAGAATGGCTTTTTGTTTTTAATCCATTAAAGGTCCTTTAATTTCTTCACAGTTCTCCGTCTGTCCCCTCTCAACCATTTCCCTGTAGTGAACTAACATTTATACAGTGTCAGTGAGAGAGTAAAAATCTCCTTCTGATTTCAATGAGCCATCAAAGCAGGTGGTTTAAATAGGGTCCCATGAATTCCCAACCACAGGTCTTAATCAGGGGCCATGAGCATCTAGGACTCAGTGTTTTTGCCCTGTCACTACATAGGAGATGGGAAGAGGGCCCTTAGAAATGTTTAAAGAAGAATATATTCTGTATCTGTTAGGGGTTTTATGCATCAAGTGAAAAAACAAAAGTAAAAAGCTCATGAGATGTCCTAAGAAAGTTCAACATGCCTCTGAAACTCAATGCTCATGGTGAACTTCCTTAGAAAACTATATAAGTAACTTTTAGCACTGAAATGAAAAATTGAGAAGGTAGTTTATTTCATTATTATTAAAAGAGTATTGGGAGCAAACAGCTTAAGAGAGTATTATGGAAACAGACCCTGTTCTCGACTACATTGTCAGTTAGTAGTGATTGTGCTAAGAGAGCAGGTTCCCTGTGCTCATCTCATCAGACCTCAAGGAGCCAAGTTTAATGAATTATAACCCAGTTTTTGTTTTTTCCTTAAGGAAAGTGTGCTTGTAGCTGGTTGGAATTCTCCAGAGTAGCATGAATTGGCCTCATTCTCTGAGTTCCATAAACTCTAATACTAACCCAATTTTTTTGTCCTTTCTTTTTATAATATAATCATTCCGTTGTTAACCAGTGTTATCTCTATGTCAGTACAGACCAGCACTGGCATTGTACTTGCCCTTAAAGAGGCGTGTAAATTATAACTATATAACTCATTCTGTTTTGTGAAGTAAGAAGAGGGTAAATAGATCTGATATTTTAACATCTACTTTCATGACAGCCATGGATACTGCAAGGAAGTCACCTTTAGCTTAAAACTATTCACCTTGTGTCAGAGTGGATTGCCTTTGGTCTCCTTAGAAAATTTTAACTCACTTGCCCAGTTATCACAAGAAAATGATTTCAGCATTGGATAATAACAATTAATCAATTTAACTGCAAAAAGCTGTCGTAAGATAGTACACAATTCATAATAATTTATTCAGGTTTATTTCATTTTGAGAATGGAAAAAACTAAGGATACATTTTATTTCACATTAACTGAAACTCTAATATAGATATAAATCATCCCTAATGTGGCCATTAGCCACAGTTTCAATGTGGTGGAACTCTTCACATTTTTCTCTAATAATTGATATTCAACAGTAGAAATCTTTATATTCTTGGATATTTCATTTACATATTAAATTTGATACTGATAATCTAATTCCGTAGAAACATAATTAAATAAAGAGCCAGAGACAGACCAATTTGGCCAAATGGTGGGAGGTAGCTGGTATTAGGAAAGAAAAAACATGAAAAATTCTAGCTCTGAGGTAAAATTGGTTTGGAGTTCGTTTTTTTGTCCTTGTTGTTTGTTTTCTTTTGCAAGTTCTCCAAGGTCTGAGACTTTATTTAATCCTCTATTTCCTTATCTATACAATTGGGATTCTGTAAGATCCCCTTCTCAGATTGTTTTTAAGATTAAATGAGCTAATATAAATATGACTAGCACCTGGCACATAGTAATTCCCATTCCCAGTAAGCAGTTAATAGTAGATGTATGTACATCCCCCCACCACCAAAAAAAAACTATCAAATGTTTACTGGTAATTACTATGTGCCAGGTGCTACTACCCCCACCACCAAAAAAAAAAAAAAAAAAAAAAAAAAAACTTTCAAATGCTTACTGGGAATTACTGTGTGCCAGGTGCTACTACACACACACACACACACACACACACACACACACATTTATATATTTGGAGCCACTTAGAGAAGGCAGAGACAGAATAATTCCAATGGGTAAATACACTCTGGAACCAGAGAGACCTGGACCAGACTCAGCTTTTGGTGTTCTTCCTTTTTGATCCTGGAGATCCTCCAAAATGACCTCTTTGAGCCTCAATTCCTTTTTTATAAAACTGGGATGATTTAACACACAGAGACACACACTAATTTTAGGAATCTCCAGAATTTGGACTGACTTCCCCTCTCTGGATAAGACTACTTTTATTCTTTAGTTTTGTAATGAAATATAAATTACAGGATAGCAAGGGATTTCTAGTCTAAGAGCTTCCTTTCCCTTTATCCTCTAGTAATCAAGCTGAAAGATAATACCTGAATATTTCTTGCACTGTTCCTAGCTGTCTTCTGTCGTTTCACCTGTCTGTAGACCCTAGAACTACAATTGCTCATTCTGGGATGGAGGTGAACCACAGAGAGTTTTCTGAGGCCTTCATCCATTCATTTTTCTCCCCCTCACCGCATACACACACACGCACTCTTTTCCTCTTATACATTCTTAAAGAGAGCCTTCTCATAGTAGGACTCAGACTTTGAAACTGAAATCCTATAAAGGCAGGTTATCAAAATGTGATCCCTACACTGTCAGCATCGACCTTCCCTGAGAACTTGTTAGAAAGGCCCCACCCTGGACTTGCTGAATCTCTGGAGATGTAGCACAGCAATTTGTGTTATAACAGTTCTTCCGGGTGCTTCTTGATACCTGAAAACCACTGCTTTGGACACAGTGCACTCATCAAAAACCAAGTTTCAAAGGACGTCTCACAGATACTGCAAATTTCTCCTCTGTTCACATAGGCATTTGGAAAAGGCCCAGAGATTTTGGGACACTTTCTTAAAAATCAGTACACACAGCATCTTAATGCCTTCAGCTTCGCAGGAGAAATGAATATTTTTTGTGATATGGCAGTATTATGGGGGGTTGTGGGTTCTACATAGATTTTTAAATGTCTCCTATCAATTTATTTCAAGATTATTTCGAGTAATCAGTGCTTGCTGCATAGTATGGTTTCAATAAATGACAATGGTTGTTATTATTACTACTTTAAAACTAATCATACACACTTTGTTTAAAAACTTCCATTACCTTTATGTGTATTAGTCACCTATTATTTATAAGTCACTCTGCTAGTCTCTTGGAAAATGAAAAGATAAATAAGACATTCCTATAAATTCAGGGAGCTTGAAATCAGGCTGAAGTTCATGTGTGTGTTTGACCCACAGCTTTTTTAGCTTTTATGATGATCAGATACATGTCTGATTTTGCTTACCACTGTATACCTAGCACAGTACCTGGGTCTTAGTTGATGTTTTGGGAAAGATTTCTTAAATGGATGAATGCATGCATGAATCCAAATACCCTGTGAAAGGAAAAGGTCCTCTGTCCTTTCTTTGTCTAGCTGGACTTTTTTCCCAAAGGAACCTAAGACCTTTTGTGTGTAAATTGAGTAAGCCAACGGAAAATCTCTGCACAGCGGAGACTCAGAAACACTAATCCTGCTGTTTACACACCATTAAGACTTATCCAGGTGTCCTCTACACCCAGCTGCACACAGCAGTCTCAAGCTTGGCATTTCAACCTGAGGAGGTGCTGTATTTTTAAATCCTGGTGCTAATGAGACAAAAAAGTTTCCTATCTCATAGGCTCACCATGGTCTAGCAGGTTTTTAATGCGCATAGGCCCTATGTCTCAAAAGGATTTGGTAGATCAGTGGGCTTTTACAGTTTTTTAATGTCTGACTAGGGTTTCTGTAATAAATTAAGCCATTATCCAGCATGATAAACAATCAACTCAATGCCATTCATTTGGAAATCACAATAATAGGGAGAGGAGGGGAAGCTGTAGTTCTGTGCTTTGGCTTCAAGAAAACAAATTGTTTTCAGACATTTTTAGGAGAAATACTGTAAAAAGCTTTTTTATTAAAGTCTCAAAAAGTGTGGCCATTTAGAGCTTAATCTTTAAAGGGCTGTGTGCTGATACCTGGTGAAGCTATGGGGTGTGAAAGGGGATGGACTGTGCTTGTCCTTCACTCTGCTAAAATCAAACTGTGGTTTGTTTCCCTAGCTGACTCTGAAGCAGGTTTACTCTGAAACTCAATACAGTTTAACACACACACAAACCCACTCAGCTGATTTGCATATTTGGAAGTGTCTTGAGGACCTTTATTTGGGGCTACACTCAGGAAGCAGTCCAGACCTGAAATTGCTGCGGTGGTGTAATAATTTATCTTAGACATAAGAAAACTAGAGCTCTTTTTGATAATCATTTCAGAAAGTTCATCTGAAAAGCCAGTTTACTCTCCTTAAAGTTATCTCATTGTTCTTTCTTTGAATACTTTAGAAGGAAAATATTATTGGACTTCTAAGCTGTTAGTGTAACTTTCTAAACCCCTTTATAAACTACCTTACCAAATATGATAGTCAGTGACACCAAAAATCAGGTACCCCATCATAAAGAATGTTATCCTGTTATCCTTTTCTTCATATTCCCTCTCATTCCTGCCTCATTCTGTTCTCTAGAATTATAAAAATGCTCAACTATATCACATTGATATGAAACTCTGGTTTTTATAATATTATTTTGAAGGCTCTTTTCACGTAGGCAGATAAATGAGGCTGCCTTATTCCTTACAAGTAGGAATTTCCATATCATAGAGAAGGACATGCATTTTGGAGACAAATGGTACAAATCCTGGATCTTTTTACTTCGTGATATGAGGCACATTTCCATTTCTAATCCTTGGTTTTCTCATCTGTGAAAAGGTGATTCATGTCTACTACAAAATATTGATATTAGCAGTAATTGAAAGCAAATATGTAAAGTGCCTAGCATTAACACAGTAGGTACTCAATAAACAGCAGTCATGTACTACTGTGATCATTTATCTTTTTTACAGAGGAAGAACCTGAGGGCCAAAGACTGTAAGTTATCTTGCCCAGCGTTGCAATGGGATTGGACCTGAAATGAACATGATGTGTCTAGTATTCCTCCTTTCCT
Organism: Homo sapiens; assembly: GCF_000001405.40. Taxonomy (NCBI): domain Eukaryota; kingdom Metazoa; phylum Chordata; class Mammalia; order Primates; family Hominidae; genus Homo; species Homo sapiens. The sequence goes on along the minus strand of NC_000002.12, from coordinate 50,862,530 downwards.
GACTCAGGACCTTCCTACACATGAGTTGACCTTAGACCACTTAATGCTGAAAGAAATGTATCCATGTACCAAGTTAAATGACTGCACCAAATCAGTTTTCTTAGCTAAGGGTGGGTCTGAAGAGAGACTTCAAAAGATGTAGGAACCCCCTGACATAATAAGCAAATGTGTTTTGTGTGTGTATATGTGTATTCTAAAGTATCGTACCTCCAAATAAATTTATGATACCACTGAATAAAAATGGTCCAAGGTTTCTTGCAAAGCTTAGCTTCCCTGACTCTGCAACTGATTCCTACTATACTAGCATGAATTTTTTTTTTTTTTTTTTGAGATGGAATCTCGCTCTTGTCCTCTAGGCTAGAGTGCAGTGGCACAATCTCTGCTCACTGAAACCTCTGCCTCCCTGGTTCAAACAATTCTCCTGCCTCAGCCTCCCATGTAGCTGGGAATACAGGCGCCCACCACCATTCCTGGCTGATTTTTTTATTTTTAGTGGAGACAGGGTTTCACCATGTTGGCCAGGCTGGTCTTGAACTCGTGACCTCAGGTAATCTGCCCACCTCAGCCTCCCAAATTGCTGGGATTACAGGTGTGAGCCACTGCACCCAGCCCTGAGAGTATTTCTTAAGAAAATAACAGATTATAAACATGTTCGAGTGACTAAACAATCTATTAATACACTTATAACTGCTAGAGAAATGGATTTGCTTTCCATTTAAACTTAAAATCTATTTATATCTTCATCATGTCACAAACAGTAGGAAAAAAATATCAGCTCAAGATGAACCACCTGGGACCTGAGATTATGATTAATTATTGCTATAGCCACACCCTACATTTGCTTTATTGCCACTTTGTAATGGCTTGTTTTCATTCACAAATAAATTATAGATCCAAAAGAGTTTGACTGTGGGAACCAGGACCATGGACTAAACGCTCCTCTGGTTATGAAGAGAATAGAGATTGCAGCATCCTCTTAAAATCTGATCTCAAACTTGGTAAAGGTGGGGGTGGTTATACGAATCAGTATACATTATTTTTAGCTCAGGATTTGCCAACTAACCAGCTGTGTGGCTTTAGTAAAATCCTTGACCAATTTGAATTCCACCTTCATCATTCAGAAAATAGAGTTTGAAACTAAATAAAGTACGGCAGCTGGGTGTGGTGGCGCATGCCTGTAATCCCAATACTTTGGAAGGCCGAGGTGGGAGGATGGCTTGAGCCCAGAAGATGGAGGCTACAGTGAGCTATGGTCATCTCACTGCACTCCAGGTTGAGAGACAGAGAGACTCTGTCTCAAAATAATAAGATCTGCACTTCCTTGCTGCTCTAGAATTCCATGGTGACAAGTACCAATCTGAAAGCCAGGAACACACAAGATGATATCTCATAGCTATAAAATCTCTTTGGGACTCATCTAACTTGGCATGTTCTACCACCAACTGTAAACAATGACCAACCAACCTTTCAGCCTAACCTAATCATGTCTATGCCCATTTATACTTACTTTGACATCTAGAAATCCCCTCCTCTCCCCAAATTTTATTGCTTATAACATGTCAAGAGAATCACATTTTTAATTATGCTTTGAGAGAACTAGGCAACAACGTTAGATACTATGAAACATCAAAGACCTTTTTAAAATCTTTATAAGTATGTCATGTTGAATGTGAAGACTCTTCACTTATATACAGTTTTAAATCTGGCACTTTAGTCTTAGATTCTACTTCATGTGGTCTGGGACCATGCCTATCCTCTCTCACTCTGGGTCATCGCTTTTCAGTATGGCCTGGCACAGAGGAAGAACTCAGGAAATGAGCAGTGAATGTAGAATGAATGGATGCATGACTTGCCCATGCATCCAAACTAAACTCCTGTGTGGCTTTCTAGGACTACCTCTGCCTGACTCAGCCTTGCCTCTGCAAACTACTCCTTTCCATAAGAGCTGGTTAATGTCCTCTTCCCAAGTGCCCACATGCCCTATACAAATTCCAGATCTGTGCCTCTGCAATGTGTTGTTTTCCTGGTCAGAAATGACCTTTCACCTTTCATCTTTTCACCCCAACCCTTCCACATGTCAGGACCTCTGCAGGTCGCACCTCAAACCACAGAGTTTTTTCTAATTTCTCCCTTCTCTAAAATCATATATAATCTCTGATTTCTATAAACAGAATAAAAATACGAGGCTGCTGTTATTTGTATATGATTCTTAAAAATCAAGCAAGTAGAGACCCAGAAAGATAAGTGACATACCTCACAATTTTTTTTTTTTCTGATGTTGTTATCTTGTTTATGTCAGGACAGTGGTTTTGAGTCCTTTTATCAACAAAGCAACTGGCACAAGGCTGATCAGATTACTGGTCACCACCAAATAATTGTTGATTGATTGAGAGTTATGATCTTCTTGTATTCTTTTTCATCAAAATACTATGATATAAAGTAAGAGGGTTTCAGAAAGAACAAGAATGAGGATAATTTTCCATGCTAAACTAGATTTTAAAAGATTAAAAACTGCTATATTGGTGCCTGTAGTTTACAAAGAGATAGGTATTTATCCATAAATATGTATCTCCAAATTTTGAATTTATAAATATGTATCCAATACAACATAGAAATGTATACAGATATCAGTTTGGGGAGGGAAGTGACATTCTGGGTATTTTGCACACACACACACACACACACACACACAAACATAATTGTGTGTGTGTATATAATGTGTGTGTGTATATAATATGTGCGTGTGTGTATATATTTATATTTATAATTGTCAAAGTAGTTTCTCAAGGCTGAATTGATTTACTTGAGATGGAGAACTGTGGGTACTCTGTAGTTGCACCTTGCAGTCATTATACTGGCAAACCCTTTTGTTGACATCTGTCCCAGACCACCTTTCCAATGTGTTCATCTGTCAAAAAAAAAAAAAATACCTGTAACCAACCTGTAAACATTTCTGTTAGATTTATTAGATTTCTCCCTTTTCCCCTCAAAAAAGACTTAGGAGACATCTCTTTTTTTTGCACCCCTTCTGTTTCTTTGAATAATCATTTCATTCTGATTTTGTCTTATATGTTTGCAGAATTCCTTACTTCTCCTAGAAATAACCCTTTTATGAGCTGAATAAAATCATGCAGTGTACTGTGGCTTTACATTGACACTTAAATATTTTCCCTTTTCTCTCTTGCCAAATCTGGCTTCTGTGCACTGCCCCCTAGCACTGCCAAGGTGTGCTGGTTTGAGAAGTACTGTGGTTTGGGAAATGCAGAGGTCTGGTGGGTTGCTGGAAGACACAGTGTGAATGTATTCTGTATGCTGAGACCTGGCTTTCCTGGACCCAGAGCCAGGTAATTGCACTTGTGAGACAAGCCTTGAGGGAAAAAATAAAGGAAAAAAAAATGTACCCTTACTTTTCTTCACTTTATAAATATTCTTAGGCCGTTAGGTTCAAATACCAACTCGGAACAGGGTAGTAAGGGCCTCAGCATAATGAAAGAATAATGCCATTTGCTTTAAAATCTCAGTGGAGATGAGATTTACAGGCCGGGCTGTTAATGAATCCATCAAAACTTTATCTCTCAGTTGGGCTTCCTATCAAGGAGGGAATGCACTTCACTCAATAGTTTCATCTCAGAAAAATTGAATCTCTACTGATGGCCACTTTCTGGGCCCCTAGGCAAATAATTATTGTGTTAAGACTGCCAGGTGGGTTCTGTTCTAGATAAAATTGTGCAATTTTATATAGAAATATGTAAATGCAAATATTACATTTACAAGCCTAATATCAACCCTCCTGATTTTTCATTTAAAAACTTAAAATTTTCAGATGTTTAAATTTCAGATGTTAAATTTCAGATGTTTAAAGTAGTCTGCATAGTATGACTGAAGTTATAATAGAATGATTTGCAAATAAGAAGCATAGCTTCATTGCTTGAGCAAAGACCCGCATTTTTTTTTTAAGTAGCCTTTTGATATGTGGTATTTTTCTTCAAGACTTCTTTATTTCCCAGGCAATTATTGCTATTAATCTCACACTGTAAAATAAATTGCATGTTTGAGTGGAGAAAGCTGTTACTCAACTTAAATGAAAACCCCAAAATTCAGATTTTTTTTTCCAACAAAAGCATCTGGGCCTGATTCAGATAGCAGCCATCCAAGTTTGAAAAGGAATCAGCACAGATGTCCTTGAGAATGATTGCGCCCAAACAGTGAGACAATGGTGGTGCTTCTTATGTTTGTGTTTTGTTCATCAAAGCCTCATAGAAATTTTCTGAAGACACAGAGTTTTGAAAAATATTAATTTGTTGTATTTGTGTCTTTATTGGCAATGCCTGTTGATGAATATGTAGAGCTTAATTCAACCAGCCTGTTGAGATTTATGCACAAACAATGAAGCATTTGGCTCCAAAGTTTGTCTTTATCCATTCGGAAAAAAAAAAAATCTATTTGGGTAAAACATGCTGAGCCTTTTCCCCTGCTACTTTTAGGTCTTAGGAAAAGAAAATGCTCACCCATCAATAAAATTCTGATACCCATAGCTGTAACCAAAACACCTGAAAGCACATGTAAAGGTGTAACAAAAAAAGATTCTCGCACATTGGATTGCATCATTGTATAGCAGGTGGTGTAAGCTGTCACCAGCCAGTACCGATGCAGAATGAATAAGATGGTTGCTAGGCTTTGGTCTGAATTTTATTCCATTGTCTGTTTTTTTTAATCTATTTTGATTAGGCCTTTTATGAATTACAGTATTAGATGCTAAATTAAAAGGCACAGGAGGTGAGAATTGTAGGGTTACATAAGGGAGGAAGATCACCGAGGGATGGATAATCAGAAACAGTTTCTTGGAGAAAATAGACCTTGACCTAGGCCTTGAAGAATTATAAACTCATGGGGCATGATGAAGCACTCTCTAGAGAAATTAATGGCTTTGTATATCTTTCTTCAAAGATGTTGATCTCTGAGTATATACTTCGAAAACCTAGATGTTAACTGCTTCTTCATTTTTCTGTTTAAGCTCTCCAAAGAGAATTCACTTCCACAAAAGCATCAGTGAGTCACACATAATTTACCAGTGATCATCCTCTACAAAGGAAAGGGGTGGAAGCTAATTTTTCACACCTCAAATCAACCACATAAAAAAATAGTGCTAGACACATCTACTCACCAAAGTTCTTTCCCAGCCATGTAGCCACCACTGGCTTTTTAACTGACCCTTCACCATTTCCCCCACCCCACTATCCTTGCCCCAACCAAGTTTCTTCTTTCCTTTTTAGTTTATCCTGACAATATCAAATCCCCTCTTCTCTCCTTTCTTAATATTGACTCAGAGGGCACACAGCTCAACTTTACCCCGAAGTAAATGTATCAAAATAATCTCTCAACAAAGCATCTTAGTAATTAAAATAGTCTCCAAATCATTTAATACATATGCAACTAAAATGCAAGCTCTTCTGTAAAACGTCAGTGTTAGCACTTACACTGATACAAAAGTTTAGCCAACTTAATCTAAACATAAATGTAGAATACTGGCCCTTGATAGCAATGTAAAAGGGCATTTGTCTCTTGTGGTATCTGGAGCACTGGATATGACAATTACTGTGAGAATAGGATAGGCTAGAGCTAGTTATCTGGGAATTATTCCTGATAAACCTCATTTATATCTAAACTAATCATGTCCATAGGGATTCCTACATGGGAACGTGATATTGCTGTGGAAGACAACTTGTAAACCATTGTTCTGAAATACTAGGAAATGCTAACACCCTCAGAGGGAAGTTAAATGAATTAAAGAACAAAAGTAATTAAGTATCATGAATATTTTTCAAGTTATTACACTTGCCTGAGATAACATATTTCACGACAATTAAAAAGGAATACCTGTTTTGATGTACATTTGTGATGATATAAAATTTAGGGGGAAATGTGGATAATTTATAGATACTAGGTTTGGTCTGAATGATAAACCTAGAATAAATCTTACATATTTTCACCGAATACATTATTCCTTATCTCAGCTTTTCTCTTGGGAAAGCTTTTGTCTTGGACTTGCTCTGATAGAATACACTAAATGAAAAAAACAAGTAAGTTGAAAGGGAAATCTGTTTTCTGAAGTTGTTTTGAAAGTGCCTGCACATAAATTTACAGTGCTGCAAGCTGCTGAGCAGTCTCCTTAGACTTTCTCTTGCTTTCAAGCTAGGAGGGGTGTGCATGAGTAATACCAGTAAGTGAGAAATGATCCAGGATTTTTAAGGTGATAATCCCCTGAAGGTCCTCATCCATAGTTGACTCTAAAAGCTCTTGTTGCCTAATACTTCTAGAAGCCCAATACTTCTAAAGATTATTTCCCAGTAATCTAAATGTCACAAGTATGGTTGAAGTTTATTATCTCCCATTCTTTCCTCAGGGAAAACTGAGAATAACCAGCTGTCTTCTGCATAATTACAAAGGTCTCATGCAATGCATTTTTAGAAACCAAGGCTTTCCATGGTGGAAAAAAAAAAAAAAAGGCTACTCGTGTTCTGTTGCTCATTGCATATGATGTTGTCTTTCTCTATATTAGAAAGACATAGGATTTTAAGGGAAGGCGGTATAGATTCTAACATGGACTTTTTGTTTCAATTGTTGACAAATTAATTTGTTTAACCGTACTTTTTCCCGTGTATGATGTATTCAGTACAACTATATTTAGAGGTTTGTCTTGAGGATTAAATCAAATAATACACTTTAAGTATAGCATGCAGGATAGGATAGTCAGTGGACATAGTAAGATATTCAATGAATGTTTGTCCTTTCCTCTTTTTAAATATTAAGGAAAATTATTTTGGATATTTGTTTAAAGTAGAAAAAAATTATTTTAAATTTCCAAGAAGTTCTTTTCCTAATTACTTTCTTTCGGCCAAATCTTGCTATTGGGCCATACACCTTCCCTTGGATGTTTTAAATAATTACTGGGTTAGTCATTTCTCAACCTCTGGCACATTCTTTCATTTTGGCCATTGGTAAAGTGAGGCCAAGATAAATTAACTTACTATTTGAAGGAAGCAGCATGGAGTATTACAAAGACCATAAGTTTTGCAGAATTGAATTTGAATTTTAGTTGTAATTGACCTTGTTAGCTGTGTAATTCTGGACAAGTCAGTGGAATTCTTTGAGTCTCAGTTTTCTTTTTGATAAAATTAAGATGGATACTTTTTTTGGAATATTTAAAATATTTAATTTGCATATTTGAAACATACGTTCATTGCTTGTATAAAGTTAAAGTTTTTTTTATACTTTAAGATACTTTCAAAGCAAAGTGAGTTTTCTTTATGAAGTCTACTTGAAGTAATAAATGACTGAATGAAGTAATAAATAAAGTAATATATTCTCTTCCCTTATATCTTGAACCACCTCCCACACTCCACCCCACTGCACCACGTTCTTCCTCTTAACAGTCACACACTATTAATATTTGGTAGTTAATCTCAACCCCGGTGTGTCTAGAGAAGGTACTCCAATATAAGAATAATTTGGAGAGATTTTTCAAAACACAGGTTTTCAGGCCCTGCACATAATTCAAATATCTGGAGTGAGGACCCTGTAATCTGTCTTTTAAATCCGTTTCTGTTGCTCAAATTTGAAAAACCTGTCCAGGCTCATTGTTCTTTCTTCCACTCCTGTACATCATCCTACACTACATAGTAGTTGAGAAACCACATAAAAGTAATTTATAGTTATGAAAATATTATGTTTTCTAGTCCCTTGTGCCTGAATTAGCTATAAACAGTATCCCAAGTGAAAGAAAACTGCAGGTTACATACCACTTACTGAAACCGCTTAACGTTGTCAGAAAGAATGGCTGTCAAGTTGGGCCAAGTAAGATTTGAATAGTAGTCAGAAAAGCAAAATGCCTTTGGGTATTCCGCCAAGGCTTCAACTCTTATTTTCCTCGAACTATAATAAGTTTTTCATGAGATATCTTGGAAATAACCAGTCTGTTCTTTCAAACAAAGTGTGATTTGAAATATGTAAGACAGTGCAGCTTAAAGGTAGGCTATTGCTATTCAGAATGTACTCTACGGAATGTACTTTACTGCAGTGCAAAGCTAGATGAATACACTCAGCTTCTGATGGTAGCTTTCCATTGGGTTTTACTAGTATTTTTTCCTTGCACTGTTCTGTGGATTTTAGCATTTGGATATGCTTAGATATTGGAACAGATCTTACAGGAAGATGCATTAATATATGAGATGTTACATTCCGTATTTTTAGCCAGTTAAGTGAAATACCATTTTGACTTCTGATAAGAAAAATGTGTATGATCTCTTTTTTTGTTGTTAATCCATTCTGTTTTTCATGGCTATTCAAATAATAAGCTCCCAGGTCTCAAAGTGGAAAATAAAGAGAAACATCTATTGCTATATCTGCCATGCTGATTTTACACAATTTCCTGAAAATGGAAGTGATTCTCAATCTTGTCTTTTGCCAATGAGGATCTTAAAGAGGTTTCAGATTAAAAATGTAGTTATCATTTAAATTAAGAAAATTGTACTCAATGGGAAAATTTCATTAAAAGCATTATTTTGGGGAAACACACAGTGTGAATAAAATATAGAAATTGGAAAAAGTCTATGGAGCATGTGTTGCGAAATTAACAGTTTATATTGGCAGGAAGTTCCTGTACTGTTTTCTCTTTAATTATGAGAATTTCTCATTAGGTTCCATTTAAAGCTTGCTATAATTGACTTACATATTAAAGAAAATAACAGTGACAAGTACAGATTAGGATGCCTGCTTTTATGGATAAGAATTTGTATAGGGAACCTCTTTTAGCAATTTATCCAGTAAGGGATATGCATGGTTGCAGGGAAAGCTAGACATCTGAGTTTATCACAGATATAAAAGGGATTTCTTCTTTAAGCTCAGAGTCCTGACATATGAATATGTGATGATTTGTGTTCTAGCTTTATTTTTATATGGTCCTATTCCTTGCATGAAGCTAAGATGTGAATAGAAATGTTACTACAAAAGACATCTGACAAATAATTTCCAGTACTATCTCTTCTAATAAACCATATTTCACTTTGTAAATTTGCAAGTAAAACGCACAACTTAAATGAAACTTGTGACATGGATACAGAGAAATTTAAGTGACCTGTTCCACTTCAAATAATAATGGAGTGTGCCATTGGCAAACTTGGACATGAAGAATTATTTCTCTCTGAGCAATTATAGCATGTTATTACTGTGCTCTCATGCAGATTTTCATTATGAAAATCCTCACTGGTATCCTACTGTGAAATTGTTTTGTTCAGTAAGATGTTGAAGAAATGTGAGCATATAGAATGTGTAAAAGTTTCGTTTGTGCAAGTAGTCAATATATACAGATAGTCCTCAGATAGCAGAGAATAAAATCATTACAAAGCATTTATTCTACAAAGAACTGCTCCTCTTACATGTGTCACAGCATCTTCCTGGGTATATGTGGTCTTCAATAGTGGACACTGAGAGTGAATTAAGGTGTATTTACTAAGAACATGCCAAGTTAGATGAAAGAGATTTCCATTTAGAGTGAAGAGTTTTGGGATTAACAGCTGTCTGCTTCTTAGCACAATATTTTACAAAGCCTTTCATGATATCCTTGTTAGATGGCAAGAGGAAAGGACTCTATTTCAACTAAAATGTTATCATTAATATGTGTATGCCAGTTGATTTTAGGTGATATTCAGATGAACATTTTCTTAAATGAATACTTTCTATTTCTGAAATATGCTACTGGTTTTTAGTTCATGTTATTGATTTTCTATTAAATTCCTATTAAGAGGTAAAAACTGAGTCTACTTAAGGAAAAATATCAAGAAAGTACTGACACAGGTAGTGTGTATATATGAATGAGAAATTAAATTTGACATTTTCTAAGATTTTTTCCAACTCTGAGATTCTATGAAAGACAAATATAACCATCCTTCTTAAGCAGTAAAACAGAATTCAGAGTAATTCAGTTGTTAAAGATCTTGTACCAGAACCTGACTCTTTTTGACAATCAAAGAATTGACAGAAATATGACCCTCCATTGGGGTCTGAGTAAACAGGCAGACATATTTTAAACTTTAAAAAACTATTTTTTGATTATTTTAACGTAACAACAAAAGAAAATGAAATAAGAGGGACATTCAAGGCTCCTCAAAATTCAATTAGTCAGAGGAAAAAATCATTTTCATTCTTGCTTAAAGTTGTTTCCCTCTTGCCTTTTTTGCCTGATAGGGGAAAGAGTAGATTTTCTCCATGTATAACATTCTAGAACCCATTTAAAAAGCATTTCAACTGTCATAGTGTAAAGCTATGAGTGACTAGTGCCTTTTGCCTGGTCAAATCCTTTGGGGCCAGTTGTGTCTCCTGGCCAACATTCTATTCACCTTGCATCTCTATATCCCAAGGGTATCAAGAACTTGGCCCATTTTCTCCCCTTCTGGCAACAACCATCTGGCCTTCCACCTGTGTCCCTTGCCTTTCAGATCATTGCTAGCACAGCTTTCTCCTTCAGTTTTCTGTGGCTAAAAAGACATTCGCGTCCTTTGGAGTGTTTTCTATTGTTACTGCCTATAAAAACAAAGGCACTATTAAGAGTATCTTACTCTCTTTTTCCTTTTTAACTACAGAAAGTCATTTATGTTACCATTAGCAAAAATAATGAATTATGAGGACACAGGCGTATCTTACAGAATTTAAGGGTCCTTTCGAGGGCCTGATGAAGGGACAGAAAAGCCGATGAGAACCTTGGGCAGCCATGTTTTTGTTCTATTTTTTTTTCTCCCTTTTTGGTCTCTCCTGTATGTTTTATTTCCATGTGTGTTGCATTTAGATTTTGTCTCACTGCTTAGGAATTTATCCGTTTATTTTAAACTAACAAGCCACACTCAATTGCAAATTTTCTGAAAATGGTATTGGTCATCTTGAGTGAGTTGTGTATCCTGATGTACAGGAGTAGCTGGAGATAGGTGTCAAGGTACAAACTTGGCACCTTAGTGTGTACAACATGTGGATGGGAAGAGGCAACAATTTTCAGAGAGAGGAGGCCATTGCAGCAAGACAGACAACACCCCCACTTACTCCAGGGGTTAAAAAAATAGTAAAGCAATAGAAATTATGAAAACCTTAAAACACTTATATATTTCTTGTTTACCTAAATATTATTGTCTTTGAGAGTCCCTGAGAAACTCGAATCACCTCATTTCTCTGTTTACCTTGGTTATTGAATCAACTAGAAACCTACCTTGAAACCAGTCTTATCCCGTCACCCTCACCCCTCACCCTCACCCCCACTTTTGGGGGGAATAAATGCCTAGACCTATGGCTCCTCTTAAGGCAGGAAACAATGTGTACTAAGTGACTGCATGGTGACTCTTCTCCCTCAATTATTCATTGCATGTATTTTTATCTTAGAAGACCATTTCCGTGGTCATCTCTATGTTTCATAATCTATTATGGTGGTTCCTTTATTCTTTCCTTTATATTTTGAACCCTAGGAATTAGAAAGATGATGAGTAAAAGTGATGGCTATTAAAACTGGTAACATTCTACTCTGCTTCATTTCTTCAAAAATAACAATGAACACTTTAAGAAGAAAAGCAGTGAATATTTTCTAGGCAATCACATTCTAAGGGCCTTATTTTAGAAGATGTACTGACTAGGAAAGTTCTTGTCTTTCAAGAAAACAAAAATCTGTTGTTTTTGAGCATATTTTGGTCTATTTCATTTTAGACACCCTCTGCCAGTGATTTCGCAACTCAAATGTGTGGAAAAAAAAAAACCTTAGTTTAATCTTTGATATTGATTTTTTAAAAGGAATGTGAACTAGTTTACTTACCAAATAATAAATGGCTCTTTAAGCATGAAGGTGATGAATCTCATCAAAAAACAGAGTTTAAAATCAAATATTCTTTAGATTAAAAGGGCATCTTTAAGAAAGGCTAGTAGGTTTCAATTTATGTGCGGAATTTGATAGCGTGGTGCTGGCTGCCTGAAATGTGATGTTGAGAAGGACTCTGAGCCTACTGTGACTGAAGCAAGAAAGAAAGTCAAAATAGTCATTAGAGGTGACTACCACAGGCTGACTTATCCCGTATATTTCATCTGTAATCTATTTTCTGAGTTCCAGAGAAGAAAAATATTTTGACCACCAAGGAAACTAGTATTTACTGAATGTTTCCTAGCCACTCAGCACCTTGTTAAAAAGCAGTGGAGAAGGGAGGTCCAAATATGTATTTAAAACAAACAAACAACAGCAACAACAACAAAACACCTTTTTTTTTTTTTTTTTTCTGTCGAGACAGGTCTTGCTCTGTTGCCCAGGCTGGAGTGCAGTGCAGTAATCACAGCTCACTGTAGCTGCAACTGCCTGGGCTCAAGTGATCCTACTGCCTGCCTCAGCCTCTCCAGTGGCTGGGACCACAGGTGCATATACCATCATGCCTGGCTATTTTTTTTTCTTTAATTTTTCTTTAATTTTTGTAGAAGTGAGGTCTCACTTTGTTGCCTAGGCTGGTCTTCAACTTATGGGCTCAAGCGATCTTCCTGCCTCAGTCTCCGAAAGTGTTGGGATTACAGGTATGAGCACCACACCTGGACAAATACGTATTTTTTAAAAAACTTAGAATTCAGTCATAAAGTGTCAATGATGTGTGTGTGTGTACTGGGGAAGGTAGAAGCAGTAAACAGGGGAAGAGAGGGACTATATTAACAGAGAAGTTTCCAGAAAGACCACATTATTCAATTAAAATAGTTACAGGATCTTATATTCCGGTCTAAGAAAGATAGCACACAGGAAATAGCTACTGAATTTATCAGTGTATCAAAGAGAAGTTATCCTGGACAAGCGGGTAAGGAAGACTTAAGATTATTGCAACAGGGATCAAGACTATTGCAAGAGGAGAGAGAGAGAGAACTGAACTGTGCTGAAACAAAAGAAGAGTTATTGATAACTGGGGTGAGCAAGTGGAAAAGTATTAGAAAACTTAATTGGGTAACGTTGGTCATCCTGACGAGGCCATCTGTGTTTGCTAATTGATGCTTGTAGAGGTTAGGCTCTTACCTTCACCCTAAGACTGGGAGATAGTAACAGTAGCATTCCTGAAGATTTTATTTCAAAAGGGATGGCTCCCAGGACCTTGAGAAAGACATTCCTGGGTTGTAAAACTGACAGGAGTCTAGCAGAAGATTTACGTGTTAAGGGAACACAGAAAGAATTTACAATTCCAAGTGGTCTAAAGTAAATCCTCTTAGAAAAGGGAGATCAAGGGCCTGTGGTCAGTAACAAACCTGTGTGAAGTTTGGTCAAGTTGAAGGGAAGGTTAAGACCTTCTTGCCCACTTATAAAATTAAATTCCGAGTTACGTAGTTCAGGATATATAGGCAGTAAGCATTCTGGAGATGCTGGCAATTAGAGAGTGATCAACAGAGTTTTCTGGAGGAGGAGAGATTTGAGTTGGTCTTTGAAGAATGTTGTAACCACAAAAAAAGACAGACAGACATTTCTGTCAAGAATAGCAATGTGAGTGATGGGTTAGTTGGACAGAGAAGGCGCTGTATGTGGGGAATCGCCTGGGACCTGCTTTCGTTAAGGCAAATCTGTTCCTCATGGATCAACTTTAACATTCTCCTTTGCCCACTTCCTATAAATCCCAGGGTGGCAGTTGTTTTGTCCTCCTTAAAGCAGCCAGTTTATGCACTAATCCCTGGAGTTCTTTCCCTCCAAGAGTGTACAAAATTGGAAGAGACTACCCTGGCATTTTTGCCACATCCAAAGACCAGTCTTGGTGTATTTGTTCTATTAGCTGTTTCTTCCTAATCATTTTAGGGTATAAGAGACATAAAATATAATAATTTGAAGCAAAATAAATTATACAAAGTTTTCCAGTCCTAGTCTCTGAATTATTTTTGGAATGTTAACTGAAAACCCCACAGGGTTTTTCCTTCAGGTTTTTATTTCATCCCTCACTATCCCTTAGAAATCCTTCAAACTTCTCTCCCGCCTCTGAAATTGTTGGTAAATAGCAAAGCAACCAATTGCCTCCCAAACCGAAGCAGAGCTGTAGGGGGCAGCTCCGCTAACATATGTCATTAGCTTTTCTGAACATGTACACACTAGATGATAACTTTGACCCATTGGAGAATAACTTTCCTAGGGAGCATAGACATTAGGAGGACAAATGGCAGAGAGTGCCAGCAACTTGGAGCTTTGTTGCTGGAATCAGACCTAGTTTCAATCCAGCTTCTGAAATGGGAAAGATTCCCTTGTCCCCCTCGCAGGGCGTGCGATGGGGATGTGGCTGGCTGCTTCAGTGCCCTGCTGTTTGAACGTCTAGGGGTGCATAAAGACTGGCAGGCTGTGGGGCTCTGACCCCATGGCAGTGTCTAGGGGTGAATATTCACAGCTCCTGAAACCCCAGTGGGCGTGTGTTACATGATGCTCTCTTAGTTTGCCGTCTATAGGCGGCTTGTGTTAACCAGATCCATTAGATCCCCTTCCGACAGAGGGATTTCTGTATCCTGGGGTTTCTTGCCTTGGTGTGCCAGAAGAATCGGATCATATGTGGGCTAGGAGAATGAGTGGCAGGTTTTATTGAGTAGAAGTAGCTCTCAGCTGATGGCTGAGCCAGAGGGAGATGGTTTTCCCCTGGAGTCAGGCCGCTTTGCAGCCGGACTCTTCTCTGGTCGCTCCAGCCAAACTCCGCCACCTTTCGATGGTGGACGGCTGGCTGCTGTGCCGACGTCTGTCGGTGTGCTCTTCCACCTGCATACTCCCTCCACGTCCTCTTGACGTGCTCCCTGGACATCCTCTCGATGTTCTCTCGCCGTCCAGCAGCTTGTGTCGTCTTCTGCTGATGTGCTCCTCAGGGTATCCAGCCGCTTCTGTGTGTTGGCCTGCTAGGGTCTCCGGTTTTTATAGGCCCAGGATGGGCCAGGGTAGTCTTGGGAAATGCAACATTTGGGCAGGAAATGCCTGTTCTCACCTGGGTCCGTGGGGGTGGAGCCCTAGCCAGGGACTGGCCTTTCTCTACCCAGCACTTCCCTTCCCCGCTTCTGTATCATTTAAAGCGACCACACTCTTCCCTTCCCAGCACTCCAGTATTGTTTCCCCTGCAGTCAGACCTAGTTTCAATCCAGCTTTATTCAGAAACCTGTTTGGCCTCTGACCTTGACGGATGATATATCCCTCTAAACGCCAGTTTCCAGATGTTTTTAAGTGAGGTGATGGGGTTCTGGTCACAATTACTTTAAAATAATTTAAGAAGGAATTTGAAAAAGTAAAAATAATAATAATAAAAAAAGAACACTGAAGTAGGAAGGTCATGCTCTGACCTTCTCCTTCCCTTGTCTCTTGAAGCAGGCCACAAAACCTAGGAAGGATTTTCTCACCTCCCCCTGATGCATGTCACAAGACCCTCATGTCAGAGATACCTTGCCAATACCGAGAATATAAGTTCCTCCTTATCTTTGGCAAAGGTTACAGAGAAGAATCTGATCCGACAGGTCTTACTAAGTTTCTCCCAGTTTATTACCACTAGAGCATACTTTTTATCCAATCATTCTTTTCCATGACTATCCATTTGTTTATCAAAACTAGCTTAAAAATTGTAGGATTGCCTGTTTCTTAAGGTCATTATTTCGTTATGAAACTTTTCATGCCACAAAAAACTTCTGTAAAATAAATTTATATGCTTTTCTCTTTTTAATCCGTCTTTTGTTATAGGGGCTTGGCCATGAACCAAAGGAAGGATAAAGGAAAGATATTTTTCCTCTCCTAGAGAGGGAATCATAAATCACTCATATTTTTATCTTGAATTGCAATTTGGTTTTGAATTGTTGCTTTTGTAGTAAAAACAATTTGAGGAATTCCATGGTACAACTGCTCCCAGAAAATATTTTTTTGAACTGTTTTTGTTGGTCTATGCTATTTCTTTAGAATGCCTTTTATGGTGTAAGATCTATTTATTGCCACCATATTTCTGAAAATGTTTATGGATCTTTTAAAGGGTAAAGACATTTCTGAGAGACAGTAAGACAAACACAGTAGCATGAGCTAAATATACCACAGGATTCACATCTTAAAAGCAAGAAAAAAAAAAAGTCTTGCTTGCCGACCCAGAGGTTGTTAACTGGCTGGCGAGTGCAGTAGATTGATTTGAATGAGCAAATTGATTGGAGTGAGGAGCATTCCTTCTCTTCTAGCCTTACACCTGACACTTTGAGAATACCGATTCAAGGCAGATCTGTGGTGGCTTTAGTTGCTGAGAATTCAGTAAGACCATGTATGTTTTACTGATGCTCTAAAACACAAAACAAAATGAACAACCTGGTGGTTGTGTATGAAGGTCACCCGTGGTTCAGAAAAAATGTATGGAATTACTGACTAAATCAATGAAAAAAAATTTTTTAAGTTGATTCTACAGACCTCCTCTACTCCTGCCTTTTACTCCCTATAGCTAGTAACTCACTGTCTGATGCTAGAAAAGAAATTTTAATGTGAAAAACAACACAGAAACAGTAATCTCTAAAGCCAGTCAGCAATACTGAAATGTGCTATTAGCAGTTGATTGCAAGCTAACAAATTCATGGGCTGTGCTATTGCTAGAGAATCATCACTTTTGTCAGTCAAAGTGAGCTTTCACATAAATTTTCTGGTTTTTTTTCCCTCAGAAAATATAAAAATTCAAAAAGCCTTATTTTTCCTTCAGTGTGTCAGCGTAGATATTTATATCAGACATATCTGTGGTGGGGAGGGAGGTAAGCATATCAGAATTATGTGGGGAAATTTTTAAACACATATTTCAGCCCTTGCTTCTTTGTGGAATATGCTACTGTATCACTTGACATAGATCGAGCATCCACCATATTCCAGGTACCACTCTAGGCAGTAGAGTTAGAGAGGTAGATAGATGGTGAGGTTCCTAATCTGAACTTTAAATTTGTGAGGGAAAAACAGAGAGTTAACAAGTGAATAAATGAACAGGCTAATTTCAGATGGTGAAAAACGCCATGAAGAAAGTAAGTCATTACGTTTCAATAGAGGATGATTGGAATAGAGGAGTTTTAGTTTGTGTGGTCAGGGATGGTTCCCTAACCTATCTGAAGCATTTTCTTCTTTTGAAAATTGAGACGATAACATCTACCAGATAAGACTGATGTGAAGATTAAGAGTGACAGTATATTCTAATTGCCTGGATTATAGTAAGTACTCAATAAATAGTAAGTGTTCGTAGATGGTAGCTCATTATCATAATGGTTTTGTGGCTTGGTTCTTCTTGGTATTATGTTGATGCCTGAAATGATTCTCTGGATCCATACAAAATAGAGAACTCTCCCTTACTTTTCTCAGAGGCAATTTTTTAAATTCAGAGATTAGTTGAGAGCCAGGCATGGTAATCCTGGCACTTTGGGAGGCTGATGAGGGAGGATCACTTGAACCTAGGAGTTCAAGACCAGCCTGGGCAATATGGGGGAGCCTATCTACACAAAAGAATTTTTGAAAATTAGCTAGGTGAGATGATGTGCACCTGTGGTCCCAGCTACTTGAGAGGCTGAGGTGGGAGGATAGCTTGAGCCTGGCAAGTCGAGACTGCAATGAACTGTGATCACGCCACTGCACTCCAGCCTGAACAACAGAATAAGCCTCTGCTTCAAAAAAAAAAAATGATTAGCTGAGGATGGCTAAACCACACTATGCAGTGAATATGTTTATTAAATGACTCTCCTATAACTTTCCATTCCATGATACTTGCTCTGGCCTCTGGTAGTGTGTTTACCACTTTCCTTACGTGAGGAATGACGAACCGACTATTCGAAAAAGCAGGAAAACCTGGGTGGCGTCTGAAACCAGAGGTTAAATTTCCTTCAGGAAGGATTATCATAATATGATGTATACTTTTTACTAGAACAGTCTTTCCCACTAATCTGCACACACTTCTCTTTTTGTAAGAAATGGATGATGTCAAAAGGCTGCTCCCCAAATACCACCTATACGAAATATTGATAAGACAAACTGAGTACATGTGAGAATATAATTTCAATGGTCCATTTTCAAGGCATGATATATCTAAATACTGGCAGCCAGCCTGCAAATGTAACAAACCACATGGTCATGCACCTAGAAGGTCACCATAAGTGAACAGAATGTAGACGAAGGGTCAGCCTATAAAAGGGAAGAAAGTTTTGTTATTGGGAAATCAAAATTTAAGCGGAGAAGTGGAGCAGGGTATAACCTTACAAGGGGGATAATGAAACTTAGGTGACGTCCGGGAAGATTGTAACGCCATAGTACTTGATTAGTGAGGAACTGGGGGAAGGACTTATGTGCTAGGAGATAAATTACCTGTTGTGACTGCCTGGATGTGCCTGCTCACCAGACACCCGATCTTGCAAGACTAGTATTAAAAGTCTCACTTTCGCTGTTCTTCGTGCCTCCAGGTCCATTCTTTGGGTTTGGACAGGTGAGCGTGTTTCTCACGACACATTGCTTCCTTCAGTGAGAGTGACCACCTAGACCAGGCTGTGGCAAGGTCTCAGAAGAGTAAAGGCAGAATCAGAATAAATTGACAGTTGGAAGTTTGGTTTAAGGCTGACCTTTTTATGTTAGGGTTTGGTTGAGATTGGATAATGATCCTGATGTAACAGTTAGGATTGGTGGAAATAGCATTGTGAGACGTTTGAGGGAAGGGGTTCAGAGAAGTTTTAGGGCATAAACTGTTGGTTGATACTTCCTACTGCAGTCTTGATGAGTCTTTTGGGAGTTTTCTGTAATTAACCATCAAGTTGTTTACCTGGGCATGGCTCTCCTAGAATAGTTGTTATACCAATGAGAGCAATGAAATAGTAAATGTGTGTTAATGTAAACAGTAACCTGGATGGCGGATAGGTAGTTTCAGTTCTCACTGGCAATTACCACTGCATGGGCTTCCACCCATTACCAATGAAATGAAATGAAATGAAGTGAAATGAAATGGCAAGTGGGACAATTCCATAAAAGGCAAAGGTGTATTTTAGGTTACTAGGGGAAAAGTCTAAAGTCCTTATGAAAAAGGAAAGTCTCTCATCTTTATTTCAAAACCAAAATATCACTTTCCTCCATTACTATCTCATTTTCTTTGATCCAGTTGTTTTTTTCTATCAGGAAAACTAGACTTAAACAACAGGAGCAAGAATTTAATATATTGAAAAATATTGTACCTTCTGTTCAGGTTTAAATTCTTGAGATTTTCAACATTTTTGCAAAGTCTCCATTGGAGGAAAAATGTTTTAATTAAAGGAGTTAATTGTTTGTGGAATAATGGCTTGTGGAAGAAGAGCCATAGGGATATCCCTTCCAGGAAGACAGGAGCTTGAATGAACTAAGGTTTCTTGTCCCTGGGTCCAGGTCTCAGTATGTGTCTGTCTTATATTCCAGGTAGCCAGCATCTTCCCTGCCTTCTCGCTCACAGATCTGTTTATTTTTCTTTAGCGATAATGAGTACTATACACATAGACTTTTTCTTTACTACCCACAGACATCTGTAAATGATTTGGATTCTCTCTTATTAAATACCGAGGGGATAGGAATAAGCATAAAATCCTTTTAACAGTACGTTTGTATACTGTATAATCCTATTCTGTAATCTTAAGACTAGAACAATTACAGTGTCTAAAAAACCTGATTTTCTAGCCAGGATAAAATGTCTGCTACATAAAAGGGAGGGAATGCACACTTACATGAAAATCTGTAAATAAAAATATTGGTCTTGCTAATACCAATGTGATAATTGAAGGGGTTCTATGAAAAGTCATCCCATGAACATGTAGAGGTCAACCACTTTGGGGGTCATTTATGTACACTTTTTTCTAGTTTGTAGTGGGTTACTAATTTATTACTCACAGACAAATTGATCAAACTACACAAATGGATATCAGATTAGTTCCCAGGTATAGCAAATAAATATTTAGACGCTAAAGCAGATATTTCCAATGCTGACACCCTGAATGCCATTGTTGTATTCATCCTTTATTATATAATTTTGACTTGGATCCCATAACTGTTTGGTGCTAACTTAATGAGTGTACTGTGGTTTCCTTATAGAGTCAAATCCAAGGACTTTTCAATGCTGTACAATGTGTAATTTACTTACAGTTGTCCTGTATTCTCTAAAGATGATCTAAGAAATTGCCTAAGACACATTCTTCCCTCCATTAATTGTTAGCCTATGTTTTTCCTTCTGCTCCTCACTGTTCCCAGATATGGATATATTAACACATATCTGTGATCTAAATCAGACCTTAAATAGTAATAGAAAAGCCATTTGAAGGGGGTAATTACAATAGGGCCAAGTGTTGGGTGATGATTTAATGGAAGGTTAATAATTGGTAAGCATTTTTGCTGGTGACAGGTAACCTGTCCACTCACAGATGAGGTGCCCAGAAAGATGCTGGGTACTTGACCCACATGGCTTCTGTAAATGGAGATGATGTCCAGTTGGGGCTATAAAATTCATTCAAGCTAGTTATTTGATATTATGTAGTCAAAATGAAAGACACTTTGCATATAATTTTGTTTGTTGGTTAATGAAACTTAGGTGTGTCAATGCATACACAGACTTTGTTCCTTCCAAAAATGACAAAGAATTTATTCAACTCACCAGACTATAATTCAGTAAGTTCAATATCAGATATGTGCATTGTAGGGCTAGTAAATAGTTATGTAATACAAGAGGAGAGAATGGGAGCTGGAAATATAAAGAAAGATCTTATGGAATAATCTGTGGCAATTTCTCGTGAAACACTTTGGTTTACAAAAATTACAATTTTTTTTCCCAAAGACATAACAGAAATGTTAGATGTGGTTATTTATAACTGCCAGCTAAACAATAAACAGTGCTTAGTTTTCAAAAACTGTTGACATTTGTCTTGCCAGAAACAAGCACTCTAAATAACAGATATTAAATTGAGGTAAATGTCCTGTGACTAACGTAGGTCATTTACATAACGCAAATAAAGGGATTTTAGCAGTGGCAAAATGTGCACACATACGTATACATATGTAACATTGTCACTTTTTGATAGTGGCCTTTGCTTGTCTGGATTCCAGAGGAGGATAGGAGAAGCTTAAGCAAAACTGATTAAATGGAGGCAAACACAGTAATGAATGTGGCAATTACTTTGACTTCTGCAAGTAGCTGACTAATAAATGGATATAGGAAAATCCAGGTATGGCTGGAAATTTCAAATTCCTTCAACAATAAAGCTGTGTCATGTCCTTAACATATACTGATGTATGGAGATAACTTGCCTGTCATTTAGTGTGGAAGATACTGCTTAAGTTGTACATTAGATGCATATTAAGTTGTATAGAAGTCCACATTTAGTCTGTCTCTTTCCTCTAGGTAATGTAGCTCATTCATAATGTCATTTTCCTGGATGTGCTGAAGTGGCTAAATGAGCATAGAAGTTATTTCTACATTAACATGGTATGTAGAACATCACTGTTTTCCACTTTGCAGAGGGGCAGAAGCAACGTTGACATAGCTGAATTTATGCAGACTCGCAAAAGCTACCCCAGTTCTAATTAGCACTTCTTTCTGAAACTGAAATGGGGGTTGAGGGAAGTAAGCGTTACACATCTGAGGTGAAGGCATCTTCTTCTGACAACCTGCCTGTAGAAATTGTTTGGGCCAGCCTGACAAACACGTGATGTTTCAAAATGTCCTCATAACAAGGAACCCTGAAGTCCTCTCTTAAGATTTACTCTCAGAAAACATGAGATTTCTATAGAGTGGATCATTTGTGATGAATCCCCTATTTCTAAAATGGGTGTGGCATCACTTATGTAAAGTAGGAAGAATTTTACTTGTCCATGTCGCTTCTCTTTTGTGTGTAACCATGAATCCCCTCAGGTGTTATCCGAAGTTGCACAAGGCATGGTAAGAGGGAGCACCTCAGCTGTTGAGGGGCATAGTAAGTACGTAATTGAAATTGGTCTGTCAGGCAAGCCGAGACGTGTTTTTCCTTGAGGCCCTCAGCATGAGCTACTTTTCATTGTCATAATCTCTCTGCACCATCTGGACCTCTATAAAGATGTTCGTCTCAGCGGTGAAATGAAAGACAAGGGGGATACTAAATAAAACTTACATAGTGAGAGAAAATTGTTATTGTTGATGTTAATCATAAGTGTATCTTTTGAGTTTTTCACCTAAGGATATTAAAAGACTCTCCCAGCATCAATCTTGGTTTCACGGTTTTGAGATTGATGGCAAAGTTGCTGCTTAAAGTGGTTAAACAGCTTGACAAATAAAAATGATAAAATGTGAGACTGAGATATACCTTTTTAAAAACTCATTCATTTAACAAACATTTGTAACTATTATGTAGAGATAATGATCTAAATAATGAGACTATATATCATTCAATCTGAGATTCCAGTAAGAATTACAGGAGGAGTTATTAATAGTTAAACTAGGATTAAATACATGTAAAAGTAGGACCATCCTGGGTACACTGGGAATCAGTGTCCTCTTATTTATTAGAAGTGAAAAGACACAACTAGGATTTAAAGCTTTCAGCCATGCTGAAACATTCTTTAATATTTTGCTCAAGTGTCAAATGTCAAGTTGAAATTCTACAACCTTCCCCTCCCACCCTACTTAAAATAGCAACAACCATATTCCCTAAATTTTGCTCCCCGCCTTATTTTTCTCCTTAGTTCTGAGGAGAATTACTTTCCAATATACCGTCTAATTTAATTATCTTATTTCTTCTCTGTCTGTACTCACTAGAACATAAGCTCAATAATGACAAGCATTCTTATGTGTTTTCTTTATTATCCTATACTCAGCATATAGAGGACTGTCTAGCTCATAGTATCTGATAAATAGATACTTGTTGAATTGATGTATTATTCATCCTTTATGGAACACCAACTTTGTGTTTGGTGTGGCCCTAGATGCTAGAGATGCAAAGATGCATGAAGATCTTTCTCTGGCCTCATCGGTTTCAAAAATTAGTTAAATAAATAATTGTTCCTACAAGTAACATCAGAAAGGAGATGTTCCGTGATATCTGTGTGTTAAAAATATTGATACCTTAGGGGAGGTTACAATAATTCAAACATTATGAGAAAATGACTATTTAACTAAAATAACTGATGGTATTTTATGACACTTTCCTTTTCCTCATAGTTTTTGTTGTAAAATTTTAATCATAGTTTTTAAATTTCACATCCTCTTGCATGTAATAGTAAAGGGATCATGAGATAAAAATGAAGTATCAACTAAGTTAATAAGAATTTCAATTTTATCTTTTAGATTAAAAAGGCTTCAGAAATTGGAGCATGGCTACTTAGAAAAAAATCAAAAGGGCAGAGTCACAGTATTTATTTTTAGTTTAAACAGAAGTCACTAAATAAAATAGCTTAAAGGAATTAACTTGATGAACTTTTTTAAAATTTAGCATTTCCAATCTGTCAGTTCTCCAAGGGGAAATGACAGGCCTAAACTTAAAGTCAAGAAAACCAGGCTCTTGATTCTAGAGTTCTGTCTGAAGTAACTGTAAGATCTTGGTCAGCAAGATTTCACCTTTTTTCACCTCAGTGTTTTGGCTTATGGGACTGTAAGCTCTGGAATGTCCCTGTGTTAGTTTCCTAGGGCTTCAGTACCAAAGTTTGAAGACATTGGTGGTTTATTGACATTTATTGTCTCGGTTCTGGAGGATAGACGTCTGAAATCATGGTACTGACAGGGCAGTGCTCCCTCTGATGACTCTAGGATGATTATTCTCTGCTTCTTTTAACTTCTGGTTTTCCCTGGTGGTCCTTGGTGTTCTTTCACTTGCAGATGCGTCACTCTAGTCATACAGCCAGCTTCTCCCGGTGTGTCTTCACAATATCTTCTTTCTGTGCATGTCTGTCCCTGTGACCAAATTTCACCTTTTTATAAAGACGCCAGTCATACTGGATTGGAGCCCACACAAATGACCTCATTTTAACATTTGTAGAGACGTTATTTCCATATAAGGTCACATTCTGAAGTTCTGAGGGTTAGGCTTATAGCATACTCTCTGAGGGGGTGCCACAATTCAACCCAGAACAATTCTTTTAGGTCCTACATGGCTGGAATTCTAAGCAATATCAAGAAGAATTAATGATAAATTTAAAACATTACATGTTGGTTTGCAGTATCACCAAAATATTCCTTAAAACCATCTCTCTGTTCTCTCAATTTTTTCTTTCATCCACACGCAATGAGCTTTTGATTTCATTATGGGAAACAGAATGATTTTCATGACTTACATACATATTTTTTACACTGTTTATAATAGTTTTCAGAGTAATACCTACACTAACATTGCTGATAAGAAACATAATTTGGAAGGCTAAAGATGGATTTCAGTATTTAAATTGAGCTAAGTAGCTTGCAGTAGACAATGAAATGTTTTATAAAATGTGAGGAGCTCTTTATTCAGCCATTTGTTCTCTGCTACTCCTTAACTTTAAGGTAGATTGAGGTAGTCTTTAGATGTGTTTCACTCAGGCAACAGTCTTATGAGGCCAGCAATGCAGAATATCAAAAGATTGATAATGTAATAGAATACCTAATTAATGCCCAAAATAAATCAGCTCACTGTGGATTCATATTTAAGTATTTCTGAGTGTATTTCTGAAATAGATTTCTATTCAAGTTTTCTGTATTTCCTAATAAAACTAAATTGTTATTTTTGTATAAGGAATACTGCATTTTCATGAATGTCAAGCACATTTCTAACCACTTAAATCTGTTAACATTTTGTCTCTTTTCTTGGCTTATGCAAAAATATTTCTGGTTTATGCTAAAATATTTTGTATGCATCTCATATAATACAAATTTTCTTTCTTTCTTACTCAGCTCTTATAATTGTTAAGTAAAGTTGTTCAGAAATAATATTGATTTAATTTTTCACTCTTAGGGCTAGGAGTCCTCTCAGGTATGCAACTTAACAAATAGCCAGTAAAATGTTGCCATTTAAATCTTTCAGTAGCGTCATAAGTTAAAATTGATTTTCCCAGTTTTGCAAGAAAGAAAATGAGTCTCAACAAATGAAAGTACTTGCCCAAGTTAATGGTGTTTATAAGGACAGCCTGGATTCTAACCCATTCTCATCTGACCCAAAAAGTATGCCTGCCCCAAACCATTATGCTCTACTGCCTCAAGCAAATGCAAAGAAAGTGCTTTGTTTGGAACTAGTAAACGATTGATATCACTTGTATTTTAAAGGGGTAAGCACAATTTTTGCGCTATTCTTCAGAATATTTAGTTGTCCTTTCACTTGGCTATGAGTAGATAACACTACTTGTTGTTTCTTAAGAATTATTATACATTTTTCATTGGTTCATTCATCAATTACATAAAAAGTTAACACCTATTAAGTAGCAGGCATTGTGTTTTTCTCTGGAGATACGGTGTTAACCAGGGTAGGTTTTATTTTAAAGAGCAAAGTCTAACTGAGAGGATAAAAATATGCAAAGTATCTTCAGGGATTTACTCTTTTGGAAATGAAAACCCAGACATGACCATATGCTCAGGATACTGATTTTAAAATATTGTTCTAAGTGACTGATTTCAGTTTTATCTGATTTTTTTTTTAATTTACACAAACCAATTGGTTTCTATTGATGCTGCCACAGTCATATTTGTTCTTCTGTTTTTTTTTTTTTTTTACAATTATGATGCTTTATTGATTTAAATATTTCTCATATACTAAGGATATAAGAATCTAAAGAGTTCGCAAATTTGTAACTTAGGTCAAGATTACATGGAAGCAACCTGGGTGTCCATCAACTGATAAATGGATTAAAAAAATGTGGTATATATGCATAATGAAATACTATTCAGCCTTAAAAGGGGAGGAAATCCTGTCATTTTTGACAACTTGGATGAAATCGGGGGACACTATGCTAAGTGAAATAAGCTAGGTGTAAAAGGACAAATACTGCATGATCTCACTTACGGGTGGAATCTAAAAAAGGTGAAGTCATAAAGAGTAGAATGGTGGTTACCAGAGGCTGGAGGTGGGGAGTTGGATGGCAAAAGGGGAATGTTGATTAAAGAGTACAAAGTTTCCATAGATAGAAGAAATAAGCTTTAGTGATTTACTGTACAGAATGCTGACTATAATAAATCATAATGCACTGTATATTTCAAAATTGCTAAGGGGGTAGATTTTAAATGTTTTTACCACAAAAAAATGGTAAGTATATGAAGCATTGGATTTGTTAATTACCCTGATTTAATCATACATCAAAACAACACATTGTACCCTATAAATAAGTAAAATTATTATTTGTCGATTAAAAACCTAAACAAAACAAAAGGGAGGTTACAGACGACCGTCGAAGGAAAACAAGAAGAAAACCATACATTAATAAGACAGAAACGTGCCTCTTTTTCTTTTGAATTTCGAAAACTAGAATTAGAAATTCTTTTTCAGATTTATGGGGACTAGTAAAATGTTTTCAATTTTACAAACGTGAAAAGAATGTGAAACTTTGCAAGCACCACAGTTTAGATATTTGAAAATTCTAATTAAAAGGTGTCTTTATCCTCATTTAACATGTGATTAATGCAGAAAGATTTGATAGGTTGTTATTATTTTATAGATTTAGAAAATGAGGCTCAGCAAAGTTAAATTACTTGCCCAAGACAACCTAGTTTGTAAGGAAAGGGACTGAGTTCCAAACTATCAGTCTCATCAGATTCTGGCTAGAGTGTCAGGTATCAACCCTGCTTCTGGATTCTTCCACACAGTATGTATACTTGCATAGCATAAATAAATGTGATTATGTTGATTCTTTTAGCATTTAAAGATTATTTTTATTTTTGAAGAATTATTATTCATTTAGGATTAATATAATTATCTCAAAGTTTAATGTTGAATGTTTATATCCATATTTCCTCAGCTTTAATATTCTCAAAGCAAATGTCATGTGCTGGCATGTCAATTATCATTATTATTGGAAACATTTGCATTTTTAAACTCAGAGGCTAAGATTAATCTAAAATTTGCTTTGCCTTTCAAATAAAATTAAAACTTCCTTTGAGAGCCAATAGTAGAATTCCCTTAAATAAATATCAAAATATTTTTAAATGTAATTTTTCTCTTATTGTTGGAAAAGCAACTGGGTAGGATTACATAAGAAATCGAAAGTAAAGGTCAAAGATAATTTTCTTTAGTAGGCCTTTTAGTTTGCCTGAGTAAAATCTTATTTTAAGGGTATCATTAGATTTTCTTTTATATCATATTACTTCATCTTTCACTTAGGAGTTTAAATTTTTTTTGGGAGACAATCTGAAAGGTGACTTCTTAAAGATCAGTTGTGGTTTATGAGGCCTGTTTGAATTACAGAAATTACAGGGAAGGTGAACCTACGAGGTAGAAGACATCCCATCTGAAAGCAGTTTTGAAAAGGAAGCTCACCCTGGGCTGTCTGAGGTTGTCTATATTATTCTCAGAAAATACAGGTCTAAGGAAAACCATAGTAATTTCTTTGCCTTTCTGATATGAAAGAAGACAAATCTAATAGTCTGGTCTCTGCTAAAGAGAAAAGAGGGATGACACAAAAGTAGGCTAAGAAGACACTGACTGCATTCAAGTGTTAAAGCTGCAAGAGTGAGGGACTGTCTCTCTGGTCCAGTGTTTCTAAAGGCGTGCACTAAGGACCATCTGCCTCAGCACCACAAAGGCTCCTATTACAATGATGCACCCCTGAGCCCCAACTCAGACCTGGGTTGGGCCCTGCTTAGGAATCTAAGATACGCACACAGAGATATATGTAATATAGTAAAGATTAGAACTTCTTATCTAATACAGATAGTTTATTTTACAAATGAGTAAACTGAGGATCAAAGAGGTTTACTAATTTGCCAGTGGTTATCTAGTTTGTTATTGGCGTCCTTCAAATTCAGATTTTCTGAGATCACGTACCAATTATTCTTATCTCAATTCAAAATCATTATGATACATGAAACTGGTCAGATCATTTAGGGTAACTTTCCAAAAAAGTCACCTTAGTTAAAAAGCCACTGTGAATTTTGTTATAGTTATTGTTTTCCTCCTGAAATTCTAGCAGTTGAGTTGTTTTCAACCCCTCAAAAACTGAGCACCACATCCTTCAAAACTGCAAAACCAATTAACTGCCTGAGAAGTCCAAAATGTACTCCTAAACCATATTTTGAGCAAAATTGACAGTTATGATTTATTATTGTCCCTTGTTCACCTAGAAAACAAATGTATTCAGATTTTCACAGTTGATTACAGAGAATCTTAAATTTAAGAGCAAAATCCCTCCCATGTTCAATATATTTGGATTTTTTTTCTTTAGTCTTTTGACTACTTCTCAGTTTTTTAGTAAGCCCAGCTGGGTAGTCAGTGATCTCAATAAATAATAAGAAATTTGCCAATTAGGTCAATTACTGTACATTTGCTAATTAGGTTTGGTAACTAGTTTTACATTAAGTATTTTGTATAATCTGGTATAAATTAAATTTCAGTTGTTTGGCAAAAAAGTTCAATTTCTTAAATTTGTTTTTATGTAATTTTTATAGGCATACTGGAGTATCTAGTAAGTTACTTGTCCTATTACTGTGGAATTTTTAGATACTCTTAGATAAATAACAGTAAAAATACAAAAGAATACTGACATTTAAATGGTTGCTTTATGTTCTATCTGTGCATTTCCTTAGAAGATTTTTTTAAATTAACATATAAGAAAATTGACTTTTTGAGTGGTATATGAAGTTCTGTGAATTTTAACACGTGCAGTTTTGTATAACCACCACTACAGTCAGGATACAAGAACAGTTCCAATGCCCAACAATACTTCCTCTTGCTGTCCTTTTGTAGATATACTCTTCTCCCACCTTTACCCATGGCATCCACTGACCATTTCTCTGTAACTATAGTTTTGTCTCTTTGAGAATGTCGTATAAATGTAATCATAACATGTGGAACTGTTTGAGACTAGCTTGTTTCTGTCAGCTTGACCTTTGAGATATATGCAAGTTCTCTCTGTAAATAGATTGCTCCTTTTTATTGGTATGTATTATTCCATTGTAGGGAGGTACCACAGTATGTTTATCCATGTACCTGATAAATTTATAAATAGAACAACTGTAAACATTCATATACAAATCTTTCTCTGGATACATGCTTTCATTTTTCTTGGATAAACATCTAAAAGTAGAATCTTGGGGACATATGGTAAGTATATATTTAATTTTATAGGATACTGCCAAACTGTTTTCCAGAGGAACTGTACCATTTTGCATTCTCACCAGCAATGTGTTAGAGTTCTAGTTGTTCCACATCTTTGTCGGGACTTGGTACTATCAGTGTTTTTCATTTTATTCATTGTAATATATGTATAGAACATGGTGTTAATTTGCATTTCATTGTGGTGTTATTTTGCATTTTGCTGATGACTAATGCTAAACTTTTTTTCCTGTGTTTATTTGCCCCCATATAGCCTGTTTGGTGAAGTGTCTGTTTAATTATTTTGTCCACTTTTAAATTGATTTGTAGGTTTTCTGAATGTTGACATTTGAGAATTCCTTATATAGTCTGAATTCAAGTCTTTTGTCAGATTTGTGATTTGAAAATATTTTCCTCTCAGTCTATCCTTTCACAGAAATAGTGTTTTTAATTTTGATGATGTTTAGCATTTCTAAATCTTCTCATGCTTTCTCACTATATCTCTGTGCCTCTTTAGTATTTTTAATACCCTGAGGAAAACAGAAACATTTAATATATGAAATCTGAGTCCTGTACTTTGTATGAGTTCTGCATTGAGCTCCAACTTTGGCTATTCGTTATGTCTTTTTGTTTGTTTGTTTGTTTGTTTTTGAGACGGGATCTCACTCTGTCGCCCAAGCTGGAGTTGGAGTGCAGTGGTGCGACATTGGCTCACTGCAACCTCTGCCTACTGGGTTCAAGCAGTTCCCCCTGCCTCACCCTCTGGAGTAGCTGTGATTACAGGTGCCTGCCACCATGCCTGGCTGATTTTTACATTTTTAGTAGAGATGAGGTTTCGCCATGTTGGCCAGGTGGATCTCGAACTCCTGACCCACAGGTGATCGGCCCACCGTGGACTCCCAAAATGCTAGGATTACAGGTGTGAGCCACCGCACCTGGCCCATTATGTCATTTTTTCAGTGTCTTCCCAAATCAATTAATCCATAAGGTTTTCCTTCCTCTATTAAGCTCTCACTCAGTCTGCAAAACTCAATCACTTTAGAACTTACAACTCTCTTGACCTCTATCACTTTCAAAGCTCTATAGATTATTTTTGTCTGACTTTTTTTCATATATGCCCATCCCTCTTTTCCATTGGTGCCAGGATCATTCTAGTTTAGGCTTAAACTAAGCCTGCTGACTGGTCTGCTGGCATTGATTTTCTCGATTCTAGTACGTATGCATGCCTAAAATAATATTTTCCTTATGTTATTGCCTCACTCAAAATCTTTACAGTTGACTGTTGCCTAGAAGATGGCATCCAAACTTGGAAACCAGTTATTATTTAAAGCCTTCCAAATTTCAGCCCTGCTCTTTTTTGCTTGCCCGCCACTGCTACTCAATGTGAACAATCAGCGTCACTCAGAACGCTGTTTCTCTGTGCATCTGTGCACAAAACAGACACATGAACAGACACAAAAGAAATGGCTCCTGCTCTTGGGAAAAGTACAATCTAGTTTAGAAAGCAAACTAACTGTTCGCATGACATGAATAGTCTGCCACCAGTTCTATTCATATTCCGGAGAATGCTCTCTTGTTACAAGGCTGGAAATTCAGTCCAAATATGAGGGTAGGTGTAACGTCCATGTTTTAAAAACAAGTTTTAGAAATTTAAGGGTTTTAAAATTGTTTTCAAACTGTATTCTAAAGACAGAAATGTGTACATATCTTAACATATTTATACACTCTGAAGAACTTTGACAAACTGAACACATTTGTGTAATCTGTACCCAGATGCAAGAATAACACCAGAGTTTCAGAAGCCCCTCAAGCCCCCTCTACTCATTAGCTCCCACAGTAAGGATAACTAATACTTTCTTCTAGGAACATAGTCTAATTGTGACTGGTTTTGTACTTATAAAAAGGGAATTAGACATGTTTACATTGGCTAAAATTTCCCAATTATTTTACTCAGACCTGGTATATTAGTCAGGATAAGGTATTTGTTCTTTATGTAATGAAATAATTCACTGTGATCTGTTATTTGACATGTTTGGCTCAACAATCTATTATTGAGATTTATCCTTGTTGCATGAAGTTGTAGATTGTTCATTCTCATTGTATTACAGTTTCCATTGTGTGAGAATTTTATCCATTCTACTCTTTATTTGACCACACATATTTGTTTTAATAACTTAATTGTACATTTATAAATAACTTAAGGAGTATAATTGGATTGTTTGTAACCGAAAGGATAAATGTTTGAGGAGACAGAGACCCCATTTTCCATGATGTGCTTATTTCATATTGCATGCCTGCATCAAAACATTTCATGTACCTCATAAACATATACACCTACTATATGCCCACAAAAATAAAACATAAAAATAAAAGTAATACAAATAAATAGCGCTGCTACGAACACTTTAGTGCATGTCTTTTGGTGGATGTGTGTGTCGTTTTTTCTGCTGGGTCTATACTTAAGAGTGAAAAGTCTAGGCCATGGAGTATGCTTATGTTGAGATTTAGTAAAGACTACCAGTTTTTCAAAGTTAATTGTATTAATTTAATTTTAAAAGAAATTAAATGAGACCTCTTATAGGAATCTAGTATGGGAGGAGATGTATTATAAATGGACCAAGCAGTGAAAACTAGGCAAAAGGGTGAATGCCATAAAGTTCTGACAGAACAGGGAACTGTGTTGCCCTAGAGAATGATGAAAGTGATCCTTGGTGCAGGCAGCTCATGTGGAAATGAATGTGTTTCAGGGCTCAGAAGAACTGAGTCTTATTTTATTTATAGTAGATAGTATATGATGCAGAGCTTTTTGAACTTTTTTTTTTTTCATTTAAAAACGTCTGCCCAAGGTTTCAAGTGCTTTTAAATTAGCTTAGTGTTGAATAGGTACTAATAAAACTACCGTGTGTGACAATTCACAATAAAATCCCTGTGTCATGTCGGCATGTGGATGAGTGTTTTTATTATTCAAAAGTGAACATGGGGCTTGGCTCATTTTCACAAAATACTCCTTCTTCAAGGTAGTTTGGGCCTACCTCACCCTCCCTCCTAATCCACTGAACTGTCTGAAATTTCAATTCCTTTTACCTGCCTAGATAATTTTTCATAATCCAAATCTGTATGTATTGGTAGCTGAATCTATTGAAGAGCATAAATAAAAATGAGCTGCATTTGCCAGTAAAGAAGTGCAAGCCCAGACAATGCCCTAGTGCCAATTAGCAGACTCTATAAACGGATGGTGTGTTCTATTTGCCACAGCCAGAGACTTTGTGAAGAAATGAGCTTTTTTTTTTTTTTTTTTTTTTTTTTTTTTTCCAGCAGGCAGTATTCTTTGGGTTCCTGTGCGGTTTCTCCTGATAGCAAGTAGAACAGAACTCACATTGTGAGTCTTGCTAAGGGCAGGCTGAGAAGACACACAGAGCACACTTAATTGGATTCATTCAAACTCTAGAATTCTAAAAAAATAAAATAATCTGTGAAAGAGAAGTTATATATTATGTTACCAAAAGTTAAGTTACTTCATAAATAAAAACATTAGGGCTGAGTGGCACTTAAGCGGGCCATGCCGTGCAACCTTGGGCGCTGCCAACCGTGGGCGAGCTCTGGGTGTGCGGGCGGCCTGGCGCGGCGCTCCGCTGTGTCAGCCTGTTATGATGCCGTCCCGTACCAACCTGGCTACTGGAATCCCCAGTAGTAAAGTGAAATATTCAAGGCTCTCCAGCACAGACGATGGCTACATGGACCTTCAGTTTAAGAAAACCCCTCCTAAGATCCCTTATAAGGCCATCGCACTTGCCACTGTGCTGTTTTTGATTCGCGCCTTTCTCATTATTATAGGCTCCCTCCTGCTGTCAGGCTACATCAGCAAAGGGAAAAATCCTGAGTTAGCCGGGCACAGTGGCTCATGCCTGTAATCCCCGCACTTTGGGAGCCCGAGGCGGGCGGATCACCTGAGTTTGGGAGTTTGACTGTCCTGATCAACATGGAGAAACCCCATCTCTACTAAAAATACAAAATTACCCCTCTCCCTCTCCCTCTCCCTCTCCCTCTCCCCACGGTCTCCCTCTCCCCACGGTCTCCCTCTCCCTCTCTTTCCACGGTCTCCCTCTGATGCCAAGCCGAAGCTGGACTGTACTGCTGCCATCTCGGCTCACTGCAACCTCCCTGCCTGAGTCTCCTGCCTCAGCCTGCCGAGTGCCTGCGATTGCAGGCACGTGCCACCACGCCTGACTGGTTTTCGTATTTTTTTGGTGGAGACGGGGTTTTGCTGTGTTGGCTGGGCTGGTCTCCAGCTCCTAACCGCGAGTGATCCGCCAGCCTCGGCCTCCCGAGGTGCCGGGATTGCAGACGGTGTCTGGTTCACTCAGTGCTCAATGGTGCCCAGGCTGGAGTGCAGTGGCGTGATCTTGGCTCGCTACAACCTCCACCTCCCAGCCGCCTGCCTTGGCCTCCCAAAGTGCCGAGAGTGCAGCCTCTGCCTGGCCGCCACCCCGTCTGGGAAGTGAGGAGCGTCTCTGCCTGGCCGCCTATCGTCTGGGACATGAGGAGCCCCTCTGCCTGGCTGCCCAGTCTGGAAAGTGAGGAGGGTCTCTGCCCGGCCGCCATCCCATCTAGGAAGTGAGGAGCACCTCTTCCCGGCCGCCATCCCATCTAGGAAGTGAGGAGTGTCTCTGCCCGGCCACCCATCTTCTGAGATGTGGGGAGCGCCTTTGCCCCACCGCCCTGTCTGGGATGTAAGGAGCGCCTCTGCCCGGCCGCGACCCCGTCTGGGAGGTGAGGAGCGTCTCTGCCCAGCCGCCCCGTCTGAGAAGGGAGGAGACCCTCCGCCTGGCAACCGCCCCGTCTGAGAAGTGAGGAGCCCCTCCGCCCGGCAGCCGCCCCGTCTGAGAAGTGAGGAGCCCCTCCGCCCGGCAGCCACCCCGTCTGGGAGGGAGGTGGGGGTCAGCCCCCGCCAGGCCAGCCGCCCCATCTGGGAGGGAGGCGGGGGGTTCAGCCCCCTCCCGGCCAGCCGCCCCGTCCGGGAGGGAGGTGGGGGGGGTCAGCCCCCCGCCCGGCCAGCCGCCCCGTCCGGGAGGTGAGGGGTGCCTCTGCCCGGCCGCCCCGTCCGGGAGGTGAGGGGTGCCTCTGCCCGGCCGCCCCTACTGGGAAGTGAGGAGCCCCTCTGCCCGGCCACCACCCCGTCTGGGAGGGGTACCCAACAGCTCATTGAGAACGGGCCATGATGACAATGGCGGTTTTGTGGAATAGAAAGCGGGGAAAGGTGGGGAAAAGATTGAGAAATCGGATGGTTGCCCTGTCTGTGTGGAAAGAAGTAGACGTGGGAGACTTTTCATTTCGTTCTGTACTAAGAAAAATTCTTCTGCCTTGGGATCCTGTTGATCTGTGACCTTACCCCCAAACCTGTGCTCTCTGAAACATGTGCTGTGTCCAGTCAGGGTTAAATGGATTAAGGGCGGTGCAAGATGTGCTTTGTTAAACAGATGCTTGAAGGCAGCATGCTCGTTAAGAGTCATCACCACTCCCTAATCTCAAGTACCCAGGGACACAAACACTGCGGAAGGCCGCAGGGTCCTCTGCCTAGGAAAACCAGAGACCTTTGTTCACTTGTTTATCTGCTGACCTTCCCTCCACTGTTGTCCTATGACCCTGCCAAGTCCCCCTCTGTGAGAAACATCCAAGAACGATCAATTAAAAAACTAAATAAATAAATAAATAAAAACATTAATTTTAGATGTGGAAATCAATAATTTATTGCTATTGTGACATTTGAAAGTAAGTCTTTAAAAGAGTTTACTTTGTTCTTCATTTTTAAAAATTATTTTTTACTATTATAGCCAGAGGGTCACATGTATTGCTTTTAAGAGTAATGCCATTTGGGATACTAAGTGTCAGGGCATATTTCCCCAGAGTATTTTATAAGCACATTAATTATTTGCTGCTAATTATTGTGAGTTTTCACAGCTTCAAAAAACTAACTGCTATGAAACAATAAATTATAACCAAATTCTATATTGTGATATTCATGAAATCAGGGATGAATTGAAGTATAGGTAAAAATGATAGTATTTCTTTGCTAGAAATATTGATGTATTTTAATTCATTGTATCATACGCATCGACCTCAACAGTTTCTTCCAGGCTATTTGCCATTCTTGATTGAATAGACTGTTACCAAGGTCACTATGCGCCAAATCCAGTGATCACATTTCTGTCCTCATTTTTTTACTCAGCGGTAGCAAGTCACAAAGTTGACAGTTCTTTTCTTCTTCAAACACTTTCTGCTGTGGCATCATGATGCTATGTTCTCCTCCATACCTACTGCTCTTCTTGGCCTTTCTTGCTGACTTCTGCTCTGTTGGCTTCCAAATGCTGGTCTGAAAGACTGTAATCTTTCTGAAGGTGATTCAGTACTGTGGCGTTTAATGCCATCTAAATGCTGATGAATCCCAAATGTATATCTCTAATCCTGATCTCTGCAATGAGCTCCTAATTTATGTAAAAAACCCTCTGCTTGACCTTTCCACTGGGATGTCTAAGAGCTATCTCAAACTTCTCAAGACCAAAACAGAGCTATCCATTCTCCATTTTCTAGTTCATAATTTCTGCCGAAGTTTCTTCTCAATAGATATCATTAGTATATGCCTTGTTGTTCAAGCGAAATACACCTAGGAGTCATCTGATCCCTCACTGAACCGCACTTTAAAACACAAACATACATAATCACCCCAACAATTGAAGGATTACTTAGGGTCACTTCCAAAATGTATCCCGAATTTATATGGGTCTTTTCATTTTCACAGGTGATGCATTAGTCAGGCCACCATCATCTAGTAGCAAGATGGCTAGAATAGTCTTTTCATCTAATGTCTAAATTTCAACTCCTTTTTCAGGCCAAATGATCTGTGACTCCAGGCTGCATCATACCTCACTTTCCTTCACTGGCTCATTGGCTTTACCTGTCTTTGCTTTTCTTACATACTTTAAGTTGTTCCTAGTTGGGGCTTTCATACTTGTTTTTACTTTTATTTGTAAAACTGTCCCCAGAAGATTACATGACTAGCTTGTTCTTGTCATTTCACTCTCAGCTCAGATGCTACCTTTTTAGTGAGGATGTTCCAATTAGCCCATCTAATTAAAGAATCCACCAACCTGTGGCCCCTCTTTCCCTTCCCCCAGTCCCTCTCAACCACATCTTCTGGTTTCTTTACAGCTCCAATCATGGATCACTCTCTGAAACTATATTGTTTTTCTTAAGTTTAAGAATTCATTCTCTGTCTATAGCCACTGTAATTTCCATGAGAGCAGATGTAAGATATGTGGGAAGAGTCAAAGTGGCTTTCCTACTCTTGCAGAGCCAACACAATACCTCTAACATGAGATGTGTGGGGGTTTTCCCCCAAACATCAAGCCAGCAGTTCTCCAACAGACACCTGCCAAGTGTTCTCTAATTTAAGTCAATTCAGACACAGTCTAGCAGCAGAAAGTGTTAGATCCCTTAAGTTGAAGGATCATTTTCAGAAGAGTGCCTCCCGACCGACTTCCAATGCCAGTTGCAAGCACAGGTTTTGACTGACTGGCTGTAGACCCCATCCTTGGGTTCCATTAATTTGCGAGAGCAGCTCACAGAAGTCAGGGAAACACTTAATACTTTACATTTGGCTTGATTATTATAAAGAATATTACAAAGGATACAGATAAACAGTCAGATGAAGATGTACGGAAGAAGGGGCACAGAGCTGCCATACTCTCTCTGGGATCCTCCACATGTTCAGCTGTCAGGAAGCTCCCTGACTCCAGTCCTTTTGAGTTATTATGGAAGCTTCATTACATAGGCCTGATTGATTAAATCATTGGTCATTGGTTATCAACTTAGCTTTCAGCCTTTCTCACCTACTTGGATGTTGGTGGTGGGGCTGAAAGTTTTAACCCTCTAATTCTGTCTTGGTCTTGGTGACTGGCCCCCATTCTGAAGCTATCTAGAGGCTGCCAGCCAGCAAACATTCATTAGCATACAAATGATATTCTTATCACTCCAGAGATTTCAAAGATTTTAAGAGTTATATGTCAGGAGAAGGGAGTGAAGACCAAATGTATATATCTCATTTTAAATCACAGTATCACAGCAGGAATTATATTTGTCTTCTTCCCGGTTACAATTCAAGCCCATGAACTGTGCCAAGGATGTGGGTGCCCTATTTTGCCAAATGAATAAACAAAACTATAGATACGTTGGAAGCATCCAGGGAAAAATTATGGTGGCAAGTTATATAAAGGCAGCCCTATTGATTTACTAATTTTTTGACTTTTCTTCTCTATAGTGTATCACTTGCGTGCTGTTAATTCAAAGCACAGGAGAATTCCGGTCTCCAAGATTGAAAAACATAATAACAAATTGTGGATGCCTGCACCTAATCTTTCTTTTTCAGTTAGCTTGATGCAATTTTAAAACAAGTATTCCCTCTTGTTATTCATCTTACTAATGAAAAGCTGCCTCACCAAATTCTAATTTCTGAGGTTGTGGTGCTTGCTAGTCCAGTTTGTATCCATGCTCCTAGGCTGGTCTGTTTTAGCCTTGCATGACCCTGGAGAAGTGGGTATTTTTTTCTGGGCCCTAGATTCACCTGGAGTTTTCAGAGGGGGATTATCTATTTTCTTACCAAGGAGCTAACCTTTGACTATGCCTCTGGCCTCAACGTATTTATTTGTTTAGCCCTTAGGCCAAACCTCAATATCCCTTTACTGGATCCTAGCATATTCCATTCTCAGGGAGTCATACAGCTCAAATACATACTAGAGTTTTAAAAGCAACTACTTCTATGCAGAAAATTGTGAAATCATAAGATTTTAGGAATGGTAGTCTTTTTAGGCATCACCTTTCCCTACATCTTTAAAATGTGAGTGAGAAGGAGCCAAGGTGTAATAATCATACCCTTTAAGTATTTAAGATCTATAAATAGCCACATTTGATATTTTTGTGTATCTATTTTTCACACACACACACACACACACACACTCAAAGGGTTTGAATTGTAGCAATAATAATACTATAGTCATATTTTTCTCTGTTTATTCAGGTAGCTCTTTTATATATTGGATGTTAACAAGTACTCAGTACTGTCTATGTTATTTCTCCTTTCCATTCAGCCTCTTATTCTACTTTCTCTTTTTTGTGTGTGAAAAAAATGTAGTTTGGTGGCACAGCCACACTTTGTGGCTCTGACTTCCTCTAAATTCTTCTGCATAGCAAATCCTGCTCTATAATCAGATTTTATGACAGAAAGCCTGACCACATTGTTTCTCATTTCTTGTTCATTGTGTGTGTGAGGCATTGTTGGGGATAAGAGAAAAT
Organism: Homo sapiens; assembly: GCF_000001405.40. NCBI lineage: Eukaryota > Metazoa > Chordata > Mammalia > Primates > Hominidae > Homo > Homo sapiens. The sequence goes on along the minus strand of NC_000002.12, from coordinate 50,823,965 downwards.
GAGGCTTACCATAGATGTTGGGTAGTGTTGCCATTCACAGAGAGGAAAGTCAATTCAAAATGTCCCAGAAATATTTGACATATATTTGAAATATACAAGAATTAAATTTACCTCCAACATAGTAACTCTGTTTGATCACACTCATAAATCTCTGTTTGATTCTTTAACATTGAATCCTTCATTTTGTGTGCTTACTTATATCAAGCAATAAATAACCAATTACTGGACATTTACTGTGGATCCAGCACTATTCCAAGTGCTCTTTAGGACCCATAAATCATTATTTGTCTTCTAGAAGCATAGAAAACAATTTGGCGTACTTAATTAGCATGTAGACAAAACACTTTGTACTTAAGGTAAAATAGGACTTTTTATTAATTCTTCAGTCTAGTTGAGGAAACAACATTAATTCATAGAAAAAGCAGTGCTATGGGAATCAGGAATGTGAATGTTGATGTTGCCTCTGCTACTACTTATAATAACAAAGATTCACCAGAATTTATGGAGTATCTATTATTTGACATTATTTGTAAAGCATTTATTTTATTGTAGTTGTATGATGGTAGGTATTGTTACTTTTTATTATTTTTTCCAGAAAAAAAAATTTTGATTCACTTTTCCAAATCTTCAGCAACCCCAGGTCTGCACTGATGGCCTAGGGTCACAGGTAGTTAACTCAGTCTTCTCACTGTAACAGTTTTGTGATAGACTTTAAATAATCTCTTTGGTTTTCAAAATTGGCAACTAAAATATATTTGGCAATGTTGAACTTAATAACATTTGAAGGAGCTGTTTTGGCCTATCTTTTGAAGTATTGCCTGCCTGCAGAGATCTTAATATGCAAATAATTAAAATGACAACTCAAAGAGGTTCCTGGAATCGTAATGGTGCCCAGGTCTCCAGGGTGCAAGTGCACATTGATTATTGACGTCTATAGTTACTTTCTCTAATTATGCTGAGCGACTGAATGTTGGAAATGCAATTGTATGCCCCTCTCATTGCTTTGAAAATATACATGGTAGCCCATAATCAGTCAGAGATTCAATCAGATTAATTCATTACAATGTATAAACAATAACTTTGTAAATAAAGTATTTGCAGTTTAATTAGGATGCCAGGTTCTAAATTCTAGATAGGGGCTTAAGCTGGATTGACAGACCCTTAACTCTATTATTATTATTTTCATAATTAAGCTAAAGAGTTCTCATAGTATATTAAATTTGGTAGGGAAGAAGAATGAAAACGAGGATTTAATGTTTGAAGAACTACATTAGCAAGGTTGCTAATTATCTTATCATAAATTTAAAAGGCATATTATTCCCTCTTCTCTTTTTCTCAGCATTCACATTTTGATAAAATAGGAGTGTGTCCTTTACTTTCTGTTGCAATCTAAGCTTGATTAGATTTGGCTGTAAGGTCATTAAAGGATCTATAGGCTAACTGCATCAGATGAGTGTCTTATATTATGCAAAGGTGAGATCTCTCAAGAGTGGAATATATTTGTGTATTTTCTGCAGAAAAATATTTATTTTTAAGACTTTCCTTATTTGTTGTTCAATCACTTAAATATAACTAATCTAGAAATTGTGAATCAGTGGTACTTGTGAACATTATTATCCATTTTCTCTTTAATAAAAGCATGACTTCTTACTTTGAAACGTATCTTGTTTAGTAATTGTTTTAGATACTGAGAGAAATGTATCTGAAGACAGTTTAAACGGAAAGCTATATTTATTTTAAAATGAAAAGCAAAATTATACTAATCTTTCACTTTGTTTTATATTTTAAAAATTTATGTTAGCACTCACATAGAAAAAGATGAGCAATAGCTAATTGTTTTTATTTTCTTATTTGGTAAAAGTTCTGAAATCATAGGTAGTAATTAGACTATCACTTAAATACAATGAAGACCAAAATTTACTCAAACGTGATTCAAAGTCAATTAGTGTTTAAAATGTTTTCCTATCAAAACATTTGGCACTTACCTGTGAGTATACGTCCTTTTCATTCTGTATTTTCCCTCAGAAAATTAAAAATAAATAAATAAATAAAGGAAGCATTTCCAGAACTGAGTAGATTTGGAGTCTCTGAGACCTTTGTCCTGGCCCAGTGATGCTTATGAGAGCCTACTTATTTGTCCACCTTATTGATTTTTTTATTTCCTTGTTTATGAGCTAAATCAGTGTAATTTGCTTATTTTACTCCAGCCTTCTTAAATTCTTTTTTCACGTGTGCAATGTGCACATTACCTTATTATGAATTTTATTTTCCTCTAATGCTTTGTAATGGATAATTCAGTACATCATTTTATCAGCATGTAACCCTCTCTAGACTCTCCCAGCTGTTCTCATCTTTCACAAGACACTTAACCTATAACAGCTTGCACTTCTATGGTGCTTATTCTATGTCAAGCATCCTTCTTAGCTATTTACATATGTTAACTCACTTAATCACTACAGTCTTATGAAGGATATATTCTTATTTCCATTTTGCAGATGGGAAGATTTAAGCACATAGGAGTTATGTAGTTTGTCTAATGTCACACAGCTGCTAAGTGGTAGGATTAAGCCAGGGGTGTCCAATCTTTTGGTTTCCCTTCACCACATTGGAAGAAGAAGAATTGTCTTGGGCCACATATAAAATACACTAACGATAGCTGATGAGCTTAAAAAATGTTGCAAAAAAATCTATAATGTTTTAAGAAACTTTAAGAATTTGTGTTGGGCTGCATTCAAAACCATCCTGGGCTGCATGGGGCCTGTGGGCCGTGGGTTGGACAAGCTTGGATTAAACCAAGTCTGGCTGGATCCATACTCTTCATATTCTTAATTATAAACCCTGATGCATCTCTGAACTTCAGTTTTCTCATTAGTTAAATGAGTGGATTCTCATTGATGACACCTAAACTTCTGCCAAGTCCTAAATAAATATGTTGTTGGGGGTGAATGCATATATGGAAATCTCACACCTGCTTAATTAGAAAATGCAGTTTTATTGACAATTTAATGTAGATATGGTTTTCCACATATCTGTTTCAAGATTAATAATTTACTTGTTTATCCCTATCCTCTCCATAATCTATAACACAAACAGACCTCGTGGGTGTTCAGTATCCATTTGGTTTGTTTATTTAGTGTTTGATTGCTTGACAAGTGAAATTGGCACTGTAAGTGGTTTTGATCCCTGACAGAGAGGCGACATCTGGAAACTGGAACCTGAAATCACACCAGGCTCCTCCTTGTTTACAACTGAAAACAACAATGTTCTGCTTTAGAAGCGTCTGGGAAACTTTAGGTACTGCTGTCTACATCCCAGGGTCACCTGGATGGAGGGTAGAGCGAGGATGAAAGGCAGACGGCAAACAAGAATAGGTTGGAAACATTGCAGCACACATCTTTTTGTGCTTTTTAGTTTTTGAGCTTTGTGAATATATTATCTGTTCAAAAAGTTAAATAAATCATTGAAAAAGTGTTTGTGGTCTTAAATGAGGTCCATAGCAGTACAGCTGAGCAATATTACAGTCAAGCTTCTTCTCCACCCTGTCAAAAGGACACCCTCCACTGAACTGTCAGTCATGTGAGTTAAATTAGTTCAAATCACTCAAGCAATGAGATTATGGGACACACAACACCTGTGCAGGAAGTGGTGTTAGAAAGTAAGGTAACAGTGAGATGATTTAATGGGGAAAGAGAATAAAGATAGACACTATCAGAAAGCAATTCTGCACTAAAATTCAATAGAAAGGATAGTAAGTTCAATAGGAATTAATACAGGAGAGAAATCAGGATGGTCCAGAGCAATTTTCTGGACCACTTCATGATTCTTGTTTTTTTTCATATCCCCATCCCCAGGGCTAAAAGAATATCAATCATGGGTTCTTAAAAATGTATTAATAAAAACATGAGTCCTGGTTAGTCCATGCTTAAGTGTTGCAATTAAATTTAAGGAAAAAGTGACCTGTAACCAACATGTGCAGTGGAAAATGTGTGTATTAACAAGTGAGCAGAGTGGTGCTGGTGCGTACCAGGACAAGTCAGGGTGATACAATGCAAATGGCAAACACAGGAATTATCATGAGTGATGTCTGCTCAAGTCAGTGTTAACAGTAAAGTACCAATATGTTGGGATTTATAACCACTTCTCTGTGGTTGAATGAACAACCAAGGATTTTTCTTTTTTTAATGATGGGGTGAACATGGAAATAATTCAGGGAAATAATCACTGCTCTAAAAATCACTAAGATTCTTTTTTTCTTTCCTTTGATTGAGATTTAAAAAAAAACATAACATGTAATTTATCCTCTTAACAAATTGCTAAGTGTGCAGGACTCTATTGTTAATAATATGAACATTGTTGTAGGGAAGATCTCTAGAACTTTTTTCACCTTGCGTGACTGAAACTCTCTACCCATTGAACAGCAACTCCCTATCTTCCCTATGCCCTATTATCCCCTGTCAGCTACTGTTCTACTTTCTACTTATATGAACTTGATCATTTTAGGTACCTCATAGAAGTGGAATCATGCAATGTTTGTCTCCTGTGACTGGTTTCTTTCACTTAGCATGATATCCTCAAGGTTTATGTTGTAGCATATAACAAGATGTTCCTATTTCTCTAAGGAAGAATAATATTTCATTGTATGTACATACCACATTTTCTTTTTCCATTTATCTGTCAATGGACACAGGTTGTTTCTGCCCTTTGGCTATTGCGAGTAATGCTGCAACGAACACAGAAGTGCAGATGCCTCTTCAGGGTCCTAGTTTTCAGTTCCTTTGGGTGAATACCAGAAATCACATGGTAAATACTGAATCATATGGTAGTTCTATTTTTAATTGTTTGAGGAACCTCCATACTGTTTCACACAGTGGCTGCACCATTTTACATTCTCACCAAAAGTGCACAAGGGTTCCAATGTCTTCCCATCCTTGCTGACAGTTGTTATTTTGTGTTTTGGTTATGGCCATCGTAACAGGTGTCGGTTGATATCGCATTGCTTTCCCTCCTCCTTGTGGTTTTGATTTGCATTTCCTTGCTTGATTACTGATATTGATCATCTTTTTATATACTTGTTGGCCATTTGTATTTCTTGGAACAAATGTCTAAACAAGTTCTTTGCCCGCTTTTTAATCAAGTTGTGTTTCTGCCATTGAGTTATGGAGTTTTTTATATATTTTGGTTATTGATTTCTTATAAGATATATGGTTTGCATATATTTTCTCTCATTCCATAGATTGCCTTTTCACTCATTTCCTTTACTGCACATATGCTTTTTAGTTTAATGTAGTCTTATTTGTCCAATTTTCCTCTTTTCTGTACTTTTGGTGTCGTATTCAGGAAATCATTGCCAAGAGCAATGTTTTAAAGCTTTTCACCTGTGTTTTATTTTAGGCATTTTACAGTTGCAGGTCTTATGTTTAGGTCTTTAATCTATTATGAGTTGATTTTTGTGTGTAAGATAAGGATCCAGTTTCAATCTTTTGCATATGGATATATACAATAAAAAAATAAAAAATTAAACCAATTTTATTTATAATATCAACAAAAATAATAAAACAGTTAGTGATAAACTTACCCAAGGAGTTGAAAGACCTATATACTGAAAACTTATATACTGATTAAATAAGACACAGATAAATAGAAAGGCATCCTGTGTTTCCAAATTGGAATGCTTAATATTGTTAAGATGTCCAAACTATCTAAAGCAATCAGCAGATTCAATGCAATCCTTATCAAACTATTAATATCTTTTTTTCAGGAATAAAAAAAAAAACAATTGTTTTTGTATGTTGACTTTGTATCCTGCAACTTTTTTGCTTATTAGTTCCAACTTTTTTTTTTTTTTTTTTTTGCTATGGAGTCTTTAGGGTTTTCTACATATAAAATCAAGCCATCTGCAAACAGAGATTTTTTTTACTTTTTGCTGGCTTTGATGCATTTTATTTATCTTTCTTACTTCATTGCTCTAGCTGGGACTTCCAATACTATCTTGAATAGAAGTGGCAAGAGTGAGCATTAATACCTTGTTCCTGATTATCCAGGAAGAGCTCTTAGTTTTTCACCTTTGAGTATGTTGTTAGCTCTGGGTTTTTCACATATGGCCTTTATTATGTTGAAGTAATTTTTCTATTCCTAGTTTGTTAAGTGTTTTTATCATGAAAAGGGGTTGAATTTAGTAAAATACTTTTTTACCCCCTGCATCTATTGAGATGATCACTCTTTATTCTACTAATGTGGTGTATTACATTGATTTGCTTTTGGTATGTTGAACCATCCCTGCAACCCAGGAATAGATCCCTCTTCGTCATGATGTATGATACTTTTAATATGCTGTTAAATTTGCTTTGTTAGTATTTTGTTGTGAATTTTTGCATCTGTGTTCACTAGGGATATTGGCCTGTTGTTTTCTTTTCTTGTAGTCCTTGTCTAGCTTTGGTATCCCTATCACCACAATGCTGGCCTCATAAAATAAGTATGGAAATGTTCTCTTCTCTTCTATTTCTTAGAAAATTCTGAGAAGAATTAGCACTATTTTTTTTTATTGTTTTGTGTAATTCTCCAGTGCAACCATCTCATCTGGGCTTTTCTTTTTTGGGAGGCTTTTAATTACTGATTTAATCTCCTTAATAGTTAATGAACTGTTCAGATTTTATATTCATGATTCAGTTGATAGGTTGTATGTTTCTAGGAATTTATATACTTTTTCTGGATTATCCAAGTTATTGATGTATAATTATTCACAGTAGGTTCTTTTAATCCCCTCAAAGTCACTAAGATTCTAACTGGGAAAATATTTACTCTGTTGTATCTCCTTTTAAGATAGCTTTCTTGTTCCTTCCTCCACCCGCCTTCTGTCATTGGTAGAAACTAAATAAATTATGGAAATTCAGTCATGAAAACATGGGGAGAGATGGTGCCTTCCTCATGACCCTTTTTCTTTAGACAGTTTGTGATCTCCGAGAGCCCTGTGTAATTTATATAGCCTGAGAGTCCTCCTAACAGTTTTAAACTCAAAGACCTTAAACATAATTTAGTAATAGTGTTAAAAAAATCCGTATTATTTGTATCTTAAAATACATAAATCATTCCTGGTTAGTCTATGTTTTAATATCTTGGAGGAAAGGACTTTGTTGCCTTTGAAGCAGAAATTCTACAGTTGAATGACTCAACAAAAGTTCTACTTGTTCAGGCTCTCCGTAGGATACAGCAGTGACCAACTCATGGCCCAAGTGATTAACTGCATCAGGGCCAGAATCTTTTCTGGTCTGAGTGGCAGTAAGTACATCATCACGAGAGGCTTTCTCTTTTAGCAGATCTTGCCTCTTCTTTCTTTGAAGATACAGGCCCTTCACCTCATGAACCAAACAATCAGTAAGCTTTGAAGAATTTTTGATTAAAAAAGCATAACGCAAGATAAATCCAGATGAGCAGCCTCTGCTTTTTAACCATGTCAAGTTTGTTTTTTCCTCCTTCTGTTTAGTTTTTTTACTGAGACAAGCACACAAGATAGCTTCAAGATGGCTGTTAGCTATTTGTTTTCTGGGTGCTTTTTTTCTTGATGAAGGAAGAACCCATTGAACATTCCTATTCTCTCAGCATAAGGCTCCTGGCTTCATTCTGTGAGGTCTGCCACCCAGGAGACACTGAAATGTGTAGACTGTGCTATGATATCCAATGAGATTCCTAAATAAAATAGAAGAAGATTTAACATCACCCTCCCAAAGCGTTCATCAATGGGGCATAATAGATAATGGCCATGTGAGTACTAATATTTTCTAATATGACTTTGACTCATTATTATAGACAATTTAACATTAAGAGAAAACCATAGGGCTCTGGTTCTTAGACAACAAAAAGATACAATATTTTAAGCTAATGCAATTAAAAAGAATAATATTGATATTCAAGTGTTTTGGTTGCACTAATTATACTTAAGATCTTAGGATGTTTGTTTACGAGTTGAGGTCTGTCCAGGTGTGGTGAAGGAGAACACACAGACACAGCAAGGCTGTTTTCCAAGAATATGAGCTAATTTATTTACATGGGTTCTCTGAAGAGAGATATTCTAGCATTTTTCAGGATACACTTATGCATTATTTAACTTGTAGGAAGATGGGCACTGGGGATTCTTGTATATAGAAAATTCTATGACTATGCAAAACAATTAATTCTATAGATAAAATAGCGTGAAAATAATGCTTTTCTATGAAGACCAGTTAGGCCAGTTTATGAGGATATGTTTCATGGATATTCACTCTCTTAAAATACACACATATACATACACACAAATACTGGTTTTTAAATAGTCCTGACCACTTTAATCTATGCTTTTTATATAGAATTTATTAAGGGACCACAAAATTTTAAATCATTTTACAATACCTCTTCTGAAATAGACATATGGGTATAAACATTTTAATATTTGAAATAGAAATAGAAATAAAAAAATACCATGGGTTCTTAAATAGCAAAGAGACTTATAAGACACAGAAATGACCCAATGCTTGAAATATAATTCTCACATATTGTTACTGTGTTTTAGTATATGAAATATAGGTACTGTAAAGATTTTAATTATCTTACTCTCCTCATCCTGATCAAATAATAAGTTTAAAATGCATCATTCTAATGGGATTTAGAAAAGACATAATGTCAACAGATCTTTTATAATTACCACTGCGTCCCTTGTCACATTGTCCAATGCACCTCTGCACTGGAGATCGGTGTCTGTCTTGTCTTGTGTACCTGCTTTAAATGAGAAGGTTTCAAAATGTAGTTTTGTTGTCATGAGAAGGAACATAATTACTCAATAAAGATGAAGTAGGAATAGTGCAAACACAGTCAAGGTAAATTGGTTTAACTTGATTGTAAAGCGAAGAGGCAAAAAGGAAAAAAAAAAGAGTATGTCAGTTCATCTGATTGCAACATAATTCTAAGAATTCTGCCTTATACATTTTCTGATTCTATGACATAGTTCTAAGAATTCTCTATATAGCTCCTTATTCTATGTCGTAGAATCAGAAAGTTCATCTACACAGTTTTTCAGAGTTGTTTTCTAGAACTTACTTCCCCTTTGAGGTAAACAATTGAATCAAACAGATGGTGTCCAGCTTATTCCCAGTGCAATGCTAAGTAAGGAAAATACAGAATTTCAATATAATAATTCTGCTCAAAATATAATAATTTTGAGAGAATAAGAATAAAATGTATCAAATACCTTTGTATATTTTTAAATTATTTCTTTTTGTGGGGGGATTTAATTATTTTACATTTTTAAGTGAGATCCTTGAAGTAATATTTGCAGGAAGTATAAGTTAACTGGGCAAAATTTTATCCAATTAGTGTGTTGATTTAGAATGGAAAAAAGACAGATGAGAATGAAGGAGTTTTCCAGATTTCATGTGGTATGATATACTCCCAGAAATTGTTCCCCAGGGTTCTTCTTTTTTGTTCTTCCATGAGGTACTACCCAACTTCTTTCTGTGTTTGCCAAGTAAAATGTAAGCAGTAGAATAAAAAAGCAATGACTCTTGGTTTATGAATTCATTTTACAGTAGATTCACAGGGTTTGGGGAATGAGAAGGGGTAAGGGGTGAAGGACTAGATATTTTTCAACCTTAGTTGTGAACCACATTTTATAATTTATATTGATTAAAAAATTGAGAAGAAAGGCAGGTGTGGCAGCTCACATCTGTAATCCCAGCACTTTGGGAGGACAAGGCAGGAGGATTCCTTGAGGCCAGGAGTTCAAGAACAGCCTGAGCAACACTGGGAGGTGCTACCTCTACCAAACAAAAACAAAAACAAACAGAGAGGGTAGAAAGTCTAGTCACATATTATCACTGATGAAATGCGTGGCTGCTGCATTTTGCATACAGTTGCCATACTTACCTACTGTGGACAAATGAGGCAAATTAAATTTCCACAAAATTTTGCCCTCAATTTTTTCTCCTCTTGCTAAGAATAAGCAGTCTTCATTTTTAAAAGAAACTTGGCTATGATCTCCTCTTTAATCTTGGTAGAAACAACTAAGCTTCTTAATAAAAAATATATTAGTAAGATCAGAAGATGTATTGTTAAAGTCATAATAATAAAAGAAGCACTGAAAAGAATAATTAGTAGTTCAGTGAAGTAAGGCCCCATGTTAATCATCATGATAACTTTTTAGTGGGGTAAGAGATTGTGGCGGGAAGATGGAAATGTGGATTTTGAGCTTTTAATTAAAACCAATTTCAGGACAATGCCTTTGTATATGCATGTTCACATCTTTAATCTACAATCAATGCACCAGTACTTTAACATATCTAGCTGATTCAGACTTAGTAATAACTCTTTGAAACCTTATTTTCTTTTGTGTAACCTGAGTATTAATCTTATAACAAGGTTGATGATCAAATGAGGGAATTCATAAAAATGCACTTTGAGAAGAGTTAAGTTTAAGCCATATGAAATTGCTAATAATCAACGATTTTTACTTATAAAAGGCACTTTTATATTGTTCAATATAATACATAATGCTATGCAAATGTAATACATTACTAATAAAACCAAAGGAAGCTAGAAACTGATTGAAAAGATAAAGCTATAAACGAGAGAAGATAGTGCAAAAGTAAAGATAAAGAATTAATTTACTTATGTTTATTTTGATGGAGATCTAAAAGATAACAAAAAAGAAAATGGTAAAAATATTTATTGATAGTAAATTCATGGCTGTGCATCATTTAACAAACATGAGATTATGCATATTTAAGCCATTAATATCTTTTTTTTTTTGAGACAAGGTGTTGCTGTCACCCTGGCTTGAGTTGCAATGAGGCAGTGATGGCTCACTCCAGCTTCAGTCCCCCAGGCTCAAGCCATCCTCCCGACTCAGCCTCCCATGTAGCTGGGACTACAGGCATGCACTGCTCCAATGGCTAATTTTTTAAAATATGTTATTGTACAGGTGAGATCTCACTGTGTTGCCCAAACTGATCTCCAGCTTCTGAGCGCAGGCAATTATCTTTTTATTTTTCAATTCAAAACCACTATATGTTATTGCGACAGCTTTGAGATTACAAAAGTATCAAACAAAAATTTAAAACCATTTTTTCAAGATTTAAAAAAACTCACTAGATCAGTGTATTCTCTTCTGAGGTTTAACTTTTCCTTTTCTTTTTTTTTTTGCTTTCTCTTTCCCCTCTCAAAGTTTATAGCTAAATTTCACACACACACACATGCGCTCACACACACACACACACACTCTTATTATTTATGGTATATTAATATAATAACCAGATGAAATTCTATATATTATGTATATATATTTTATATATAGCCAAATGAAAGTATATGTGGATCTATACAATATCTATTTATCTACCCAAATTAAATTGTGAATTATAGTCATGTATACACACACATGAATGCCCACACATACACATCTATCAATATGTTTGTAATGAATACATAGTTCCTGTTTACTAAGACATTGACTTACAAAGAGGAAAATTTCTTAAAACCAAAATCTCAAATTTTCTATGCCTTTGCATAATGCTTGTCGTCTGTAATTTCTGGGTGTCACTCTGATGCTATGGCTTCACTATCTCTTGGCCTTCCTAAGGAATTAGTTTGGTCTGATTTGGAAGTCACATATGTAACCGCAAAGATATTATTTCCATGTATTTAAATATTTAATTCCCAATTATCTTGGCAAGAACATGTTGCTAGACAAAGTCATTCTGCTATATTTATATGTTCTCCTATTCACAAATCACAGAAGCAACCAGTGACTGTTTTCAGATGGATTCATTAAGCAATGTAATTTAAATGTATACTGTACAAAACCAAATGTTTAAATAAAAATATCTAACCAAGTTTTTTGAAAAGTACAGTTAAGTTTTTTTTTTCATCTGGTTTCTCAATGCACACATGCAGAGGTAAGACTTAACATCTGTATACAATTAAAAGAGTTAGCCATATAGTCTAGATAATCCCAAGGTGTCATACTTCTGTATAGGTTGGAATTGCTTAATGATTTTAGAATTTTAAATATTGTACCAAAATCTTACATAATATGGAGCCACATTTTTACTTTAGGTGCACTGTCAAAAAATAATACAGATTCTTTTTGGAATTGTGACCTATTTACTCCAGCAGAAATCAATTTATTCATTAGACATGATCATCTTTCATATTTGACCTTCTGAAAGTCTCTATTAGATTTTTATCTTCTTTTAGAGTCATATAAAAGTTTATACAAAGACATTCAAGGCACTACAGTTGCTTTAAATTTATGAAGCCAGATAATAAATCTTTGTATGTCTTTTATTCTCTTATGAAAACATGTCAGTGCTCCTGCTACTTGTCTAGGATAATATTCAGAAGTAACTCTAGAACATTGGTTGCAATTGTCTGTGCTTTGGAGTGCCAACTGAAGATCTTTGGCACTATTTTCATAAGTAGGAAAAACAAAATCAAAAAACAAAAACACACCCACCTAAGTTGAGATAAAAATGTGAGGTGAACATTTTCAGTGGTAAAGAGAAGTGTGTATCTTGATTCTTTGTCTGTGACATCACTTATTGTATATCTGGAAAACAGCCATGTGTTCTAGTGGTCTAGAAGATATGTTTACCTATCTTGGTTGCAGACAATACTTGCATGATTTCAATAGGATAAAAGAAAATTTAAGTGTGTGAATAACTGAGAGATGGTGAGTTAGGAAAAGTTCTTAGAAATTGTAAACTTTAAGTCACAGGGATGTTTCAAGGAATCATCAGTGTTGGATTAGCCGGTCATTGAGAGAAAGGATATGTATTATATTTAAGGAATAAAGGCAAAAACACCATACTTTATTTATCTGCAGGTCAACTATAATTTTTAAAATGTGATCATTATATATGTAAAACTCTTCCCCCTATAATTCTTTTAGGTTATCTGTCCCCCTTACCAGGGTACACTTTTCTTTATGAATATTTTCAAATTAAGATACACTTTTTTTTTTTTGAGACGGAGTCTCACTTTTTCACCAGGCTGGAGTGCAGTGGTGTGATCTCAGCTCACTGCAATCACCGCCTCTCGAGTTCAACTGATTCCCCTGCCTCAGCCTCCCGAGTAGCTGGGACTACAGGTGTGCACCACCACATCTGGCTCATTTTTTGTATTTTGGTAGAGACAGGGTTTCACCATGTTGGCCAGGATGGTCTTCATCTCCTGACCTCTTGATCCACCTGCCTAGTCCTCCCAAAGTGCTGGGATTACAGGCATGAGCCACCTGCCTGGACAAGATGCAAACACTTTTATTGAAGTTTTAGCTTACTTATTATGCTGATTAATTTCTGTATTGTGTCAAGTAAGGTAAAATTGCTTTTAGAGGGTGTTCAGGAAGTTGAATATATGTGTGGAACTCAGCCAGAAATTTCTCCTAATAATGCTACTTACTAGGCTTGTTTATGTTATAAGATGGATTTAAGATGAATTTCTGGGAGTAAAATGTTTATTGGAGTGATTAACGTTTTTGAAGTATCAGGTGTTGGCTCTTTAAAAGACATTAAAACTCAGTAATAAACATTCTCTGGTTCCCTCTCAAGTTTCAGAGAACTGCAAAGTATTATTATTTTATTCAGAAACTTCTCTCTATTCCTCTCAGTATATGTAGATATGAAAACAGATTTTGAAAGGTTTGAAGCCAGTCCTTCAATTGCTTTTGAAGGAATTAAATGATCCAATGGTAGTTCGTGGCTGAGAGTAACAATCAAAGCAACACCTTTACCATATTAAAGAAATGCTTGGAATTAGTTGGACCTCATGTTCTTTGTACTCAAGCCAACAGATGATTTCAAAAGATTGCTTTAGAATGTTTGGAAACTAAATTTATCAACAACAGAGGGTAAGAGGGAACAATGAATTTATCTGAGGTATATATCCCTTTCTCAATGAGAATATTACTCTTATTTATTTGAACGTGACTATATTGAAGAGGCGTATACTAGTAGGTTCAGTGAAGAAATTGAATTGGCAGAGCTGAAAATCCACGTGAGTGAATAAACACAATGGTATTTTTTATATAGAAAATTGACAGGTATGCCTGTTTTCATTGTTGAAAGAACAGAATTTAGTAGATGATTTCTCCTTCAGAGAGCAATTTGGATTCAACTCATGAGAGGTGGTGAACTCAAACCATTGCCATCTGACAGTTGTTTAGCAATTAATATTAAACATGTCAGTGACCTTGATCTGGTTCTCTTAGACATGTGTTTATCACAATAAACTGTCATCCCCTCCTCTGACCCATGGATGTTTAAACTGATTATCCACAGAAGTAGTTGGGTTCTTTTAGGTTAGAATTAACATTCTTCTTATGTTTTCTGGAGCGTGACGGCATAGAGAAAAATCAAGTTTATCTCAGGAATTTTAATAGCCTCAAAAATACTAAACCTCTGCTCTACATAATTATGAAGGGAAAGACATTCAAATTAAAGACAAAAGCATTTGACATGTTAACACTTAATTTCTGGAATAAAGTATGAATTGTGTTTGATTTATTTTTTCTCTCTAGGAAAGCACCTACCTGGCTCTTCTCCATTCATATGATGCTAAATCTTTAAAGGATGACATTAATTCCTTAGCGAGAGGATTTGGGACAGAAATAATTTAAAAATGTTTGGGCTTATGGCTTCAAGGGACCTTCGGTAGACATCAGGAAGTATCCTGATTTATTCTTCAGAGAGAAGTTACTCTGCTTATGCTTAAGTTTCCTTTGAGGACTTTTACTAAGTCCTCAAGGCTACACCTAGCTCATTCTAACAACTTCGTAGCATCTCTGATTATTGATAAACTGTAAATAGATCCTCATTTTCCATGAAGAGGACCCTGATTGTCTGATTCTTAATCTGTAAACACTGTAGACTGACTTTCTATAAATCCCATGAATATTTTCTACGGAAAGTACTTAAGCTGTGTGACCAGGCCAGAGACATTATGAATTTTCCCAAGCAGTCTGTTAGAAAGATTTTTTCCTAAAAGTTGTCAATATGTTCATAAGGAAATTTTATGAGTCAGGATGGTATGATTACCTGGGATGACTGGCAAAATTGTAATTTCTTGCCTAATTGTTTAGTAAGTCCTTAAAGCTTGTTATGGTTCTAAGATCTTTAATTAATGTGTTGAAAGTGAGGCAGTAGGGTGATCTTCTCAGCGAAGAAATATTTTAGTTACCTGAGTAAATCGTTATAAAAGTGTGAAGTCCAGTGATCTTGAACTATAGGTTATATACTGGTTTATCTTATAAAATAAAATTATCAGAGGCCAAGTATTTTATTGATGCATCAAGAGTCAGAAAACACTATGCTTAGATTGTGTGGGCCCTCAATTGCTCTAGTTTTGGGTTTCCTTGAACACAAACATTTATTTATTGACATTTTCTCCCTGGTCCTTTTAGACATTTGAGTTTGCTGTCTTGACACTATGTACAATCAATTTTAACTTATGTTAGTTTCTCTTTTTTTTTGCATTTCAGTAACTTTATTAAAAGCTATATCTCTTAATCCTAAAACGTAATGGTAGTTGGTTAATTTACCTCTGCCAACTCAAAATTAACAATGATGTATTCAAAATATTGAAATATATTAGCCTTTTGAGAAAACTAAAAAGTTTTCCATAAAACATGGCTTATGAAAGTTAAGAATATGATATAATGTAGCTATTTGGTTTATTTTTCATTGCTTCTTTATCCATAACATGATGTCAAATTGGTTACAGTCATTCTGGATGGACTCAGTCTATACTTGCCCCGGAAACTATTTACAATAGTTTTAACACTGTACTTCTTACTTTCACTAACTGACATGGAGAATCCTAAACACTACCTTACCAGCCTCACTCATAGTTATAAAAGTGCCTACATTTTACAAATGCACATTTAAGGCACAATAAGGGTTAACATTCTAGGTAGTATAAACACACCCCAAAATGCAAGTAATAGATAATTCAGAGATGTGGACTTTATTGGGAATTATATTTAAATTTGATGACATTTTATATAAAGCAAAAATACAGACCTAGTAAGTTTGGCATATTCATTAGGTTATATTTAATATATTTTTTCTAGAAAACAGGTGACAATTGTATCTACGATAAAAATTTTTATACAGAACCTACTGCCTCAAACTGAATCCCATCAAGAAGATTACTTTCTTTTGTACTAGTAACTCAAAATAAATTATGTTAGTTTCTTAATTTAAAGTATAGCTAAGGGTAGTGACACAACGCCAAGATAAGCAGAATCATTGTTAGGTCAGATCTAATTAGTACAGCAGAGCAAGGAAAGGAGTTCAGAACCTTGAAGAGCTCCTTTTGCAAATTGATTCTCTGGAGGGATTATTTGTGTTTTACCCTTCTGCTGGGGAAACACTGTTAACAAGGCCTGCCTCATGGGCCGCCATCTTCCATTCATGCACTTTCAGTATTCATAGCAGTTGGAATAAATTGATATAAAATTATTCAGTCCAGTGATTCAGAAATATAGGTTAAATAGTGGTTTATATTATAAAATGAAATTGTAAAAAAAGAGTTATAATCTCTTTTGGGGTGAGATAGAACACTTGAAGCTCATGAATGGGGTAAGAACCTTACTGTCCTTGATATTAGTTAGTTGATCCCTTGAGTGGTCTACCTTAGCCATACCAAAGCTGGAATCTGTCATTAACTTGTCCCTGGTCATAATTATGAAGGTTATAGTTAAACTTTCTTCAAGGCAGAGGTAGGAAAAGTTTTTTATATCTTTATGTCTTCTTTCTTATAATAGGAGACAAAGATAGATAAAGAAAATAAGAGAAGTAATAGAA
This sequence comes from Homo sapiens, assembly GCF_000001405.40. Classification (NCBI taxonomy): domain Eukaryota; kingdom Metazoa; phylum Chordata; class Mammalia; order Primates; family Hominidae; genus Homo; species Homo sapiens. The sequence continues at coordinate 50,807,139 of NC_000002.12, read as the reverse complement.
TAATATGATTCAGAGACTCTAAGAGGTTTTGATGTTTAATCCACTGGCTTTTCTATAACACTCTAGAGGCACTGTAGTTTATATATATTTCAAGGATGATTGGCGTGTATGCTACCCCCAGAATTCCTCTTATAAAGCAAAATAAATTAATCACAAATTATATCTTGAATGCTAAGCATATTATTTATGCTGAACTAAATATTTTGTCAGATAAATTGGGAATGTAACACAAAGTACCTGCCTTCAAGGGGCTAACAACCAGAATAATGCTCACCAAAAATTAGAAATACAAAAGAGGTTATATTCAAGTTTCAAATTATGTATTTCTGAGTATAGTTAGAATAGAAACAATATAAAACTTTAGGCAGGACTAGTACGAGGTAGCTCAATAAGAGAGAGAGAGAGACAGAGTGGAAAAGAAACCATCAAACTTTTAGGTACAAGGAGAAAAACACAACCTATCATGAATAGACACATTGGTATACTAAATTTTAAAAAATATATTTATGTAGCTTGGTCAGTGTGACCATATCTCTAAGGGAAATTACTGAAAGATATTCAACTAAGTCTTAGAACTGTAATTTTTAGTGTTTATCTGTTTCTTGTAGCTATATACTCCTTAAGCATAGAAAGTTTAACTTACAAAAAGTAAAACATTTGAACAAATCTTGAGTAAAATAACAATACGACAAATGAATCATAAAAATGCATTTGCCATTTTATATTGAATAATAGGGTTAAAGTATATGTTATAATGGGGTTTACTAACAAAATAATGAAATATAGGTTTACATGTATACATTATGAGTCATTGATTTACAAACGTGGAAGCCATCATTAGTTACAAAACATTTCTTAACTGTAATTTCTCCAACTCAAGCTGATACACAGTGAATGTTTTCCTCCAATAGTGAATAGATTGACCATCTTTACTTTGACATTATTTGAGGTCCTGCCTACATCAAACTGGAAAAAATGTATGCCTGCTGTTGCATTAAAAAAGTGTACTTTTACAGTGGTTTCAGATTATGTATAGCAAGGAATGTGGATTTTAAAGTACAATGCAATAAATTATTCCTTCATTTAAACATATTTGTGTATTGCCTATCAATGGAAATATTATGAAAGTCATTTTTGCGTACTTAAAGGATGAATATGTCTGGGAAATAAGTCAGCTTGAGAAACAGCCAAAATATAGGTAGGTATGTTCTGTAGTGAAAAGAATATTCTGTGTGATTATTAAAAGCCTGGAGACTAAGGAAGAGAGTAGAAGGACCCTGTAAAAGTAACCAACAAAGTGGATCATGCCAGCTATCAGGGGATTATAATGCACCAAAGCCCTACTCTTGGGAAATTTGAAACATAAATATTTCTCTCCATATTTTCTACAATTTATTTTAAATTCTATTTTTTAATAATGCATCGAACACTATTAATTCAAAATAAAAAGCATGGGTAATCAATGGAAAATATTTTATTTCCTTCCTTCCTTCCGTCCTTTTGACAGAGTCTCACTCTGTCACCCAGGCTGGAGTGTGGTGGCGTGATCTTGGCTCACTGCAACCTCTGCCTCCTGGGCTCAAGCAGTTCTCGTGACTTAGCCTCCCAAGCAGCTGGGATCACATCTAGCTAATTTTTGTATTTTTTTAGTAATGATGGGGTTTGCCATGTCGGCCAGGCTGGTCTCGAATTCCTGGCCTCAAGTGATCTGCCCACCTCGGCCTCCCACAGTGCTGGGATTACAGGCTTGAGCCACCACACCTGCCTGGAAAATATTTTAATGTAATAAGTGAGCATCTTAAATGACTTGACATTTTCCATTCTGTTTCTTCATAGAAGTAACCTTATATGTCTAAAGTCCTCACGTAATATGTTTTTAGAGGTGTAATAAAACAAAATCCCAATACTTTTTTTTTTACTTTTTCATGGTAATTTGTGCAATTCCTTTAGTAGAAGACATATTTTATTTACATTTTTAATTCAATGAAAGATACATTTGGATAACAGCTAACACATATATTACCAACTATGTGGCAGGCATTGTTCTAATCACTTCACTTAATTCCCACAGTAAGTGCTGGGATAGGCACTACTTGACAAATGATGAAACTGAGGCACAAAGAGGCTACAAAAAGGTCACCTAGTGATGCAGCCAAGAGCCTGGCTCCCAAACCTGCCTTCTTTATTATACTGTACTGCTTCTTCTTACATGCACACACTGTTCCCAAAGAAACAAAAGACTTAAATTCATAGTCATTGGATAACAACTACTGATATAAAAGTATATTGGGAGAAGGGAAGAGTGGTTGGAGAGAAAAGTGGTTTTGATAGGTAAATTAAGAAATAGCATAGCTGCAGATGTTTGAAGGTAGAAGAAAAAGCTTTTGACTTAGAGGTGGGAGTAGTGAGGAGGGAATTAGGAAGGAAATCAGCAAAAAGAAAGAAAAAAAGGGGACATTTTGCATATTCTTCATTTTGCCTGAAAATGGTCTTGTCCTTTTACTTCCTTTTCTTTTGTTCAAAGTGCACAGTGTTAACTGTATTCACATTGTCAAAGAGGTCATGCTGACTTTATGGCAAGGGTCAAAAGCATCAGTGTGGAAAACAAGACGGCATATTTGAAAAAGTTTCAGATTTTGGAGTCTGAGAGACTCAACTTCAAATCTTGGCTCTGACATGTGTTTCCTATATTGTACTAGCGATTACATCCCTCACCTATAAAACTGAAATAATATGTTTTTCATAGTTTTATGAAGCAAATTAAGCAAGATAATGCTTGCAAAGCATCAGGTACTGTTTCTTTCCACATAATACCACATTGAATAAATGGTAGCTCTTGTTATTTTAAACTCGCCTTTGCTTATTAGTGTCATTGTATACCATAACTTCACCTAATGTAAATGAAAGCAAGGTAATCTTAATGATACTAAAAATTGATCCAATTAATAAAATTTGAAAATTTCATCTTTTTATAATTGGTAATCATGTCTACAAGATTGATTTCATTTCGAGAACTGATTCGCTGTTTGAAAGGGGTAAGAATTGGAAAAAATGTCAGTAAAAGAATCACAGCAATATTTACTTATCTTCATTTTCTACTGTGGATATTGCAAGGGCTTGGTTAATGGATTATACTTTAAGTGTTGACCCAGAGAGAATTTGAAGGAAAATGCAACAAAGCTTCTGAAGTTTATGAGAGTGATACAGGTATATTCATATGTCAAAGGCCCAGTGCAAAAGCTGAAAAGAAAAACAAACTATCAAAGCCTGGGGTTATCATCAAGAGAATCAGAAGTATGTTAAAAGTGATATTGTTTTTGAAAATAATTCTTAAGCATAGAAAAGAAATTGCTGAGCTACACCAACATTTTGTTTATGATCTTGAACGTAAGTATCCCTTATGACCTTATATAACTAAAGATGATATGAGGAGCAATATTCAGCAAGGCTGACCTCAAACAGCATGGTTTATTAAGCTTACCATTTCCATTTGCAAGGATATGCTTTTGAAAATATTCCAGAAATTTATTTTTTCTGCCAAGGAAGAGAACTCAGGAGAATTCTCAGCATTTAAACCAACTTAGAAAAAATTGAACAATGTGTTATTGCACGATTTATACATTGAAAATGCAAAGAAATAAAAACAGTGTCCTCTACTGCTTAAATGATTGAGAAATGGAAAGACTTACTAGAGAGATTATGAGAGTAGTATCTGTGAACTCTCACCTACACTGGGGAAGGATTTATGACTCAGTTGATCATGTATGGGGGCTTGGAATTAGTTTCTCCTCCAGTCTTCTCTGTAATAGTAGAAAAGAAAAATAAATATATCAACAACATTTTCTGAAAAGGCTTCTCAGATCATCATCATAGACAATTTCTTCATTAAGTGTATTTTTTCCTGTAATTGAAACATTTATTAGTAGTTCTTTAATTAAAATTGTATGTAAATGTAATCAAATCAGCAGAAATGAGTGCTAGGCAGATTTTATAAGAGTAAGCAGAAAAGTAGATTTTCTTTTCTTATTATCCTTGTTTTAATTTTACTACTGTTAATACTGGAAAAAGAGTTGAATTTGTTGTTTAGGGCTACCACAAAAAGTACCAAAAGCTGGGTGACTTACAGCAAAAGAAACTATCATTTCATAGTTGTAGAGGCTAAAAATCTGAAATCAAGATGTTGGCAGGGTCACTCTGCTTCTGAAATCTGCAGAGAAATCGTTCCTTGTGTCTTCCTAGTATCTGGTGGTGTGCAGGCAGTCTTCCGCATTTCTTGACTTACAGATGCATTTCTCCAGTTCTCTGTCTTCACATGGTTTCTCTGCGTATTTTCACATCCTCCTCCCTCTGTGTGTGTCTATCTCTTTGTCCCAATTTCTTCTTTTAGTCAGAGCAAAAAATCATATTGGATTAGGGCCCACATGAATGACCTCATTTTAACTTGATTTTACCTCTAAAAAGACCCTATTTTCTATTTTCTTTCCTTCCTTCCCTCCCTCCTCCCTCCCTTCTTTCTTTTCTTTCCTCTTTCTTTCCTTCTTTTCTCTCTCTCTTTCTCTCTGTCTCTCTCCTTCCTTCCTTCCTTCCTTCCTTCCTTCCTTCCTTCCTTCCTTCCTTCCTTCCTTCCTTCCTTCCTTCCATTTCTCTTTCTCAGAGATTCACTCTTGTTGCCCAGGCTGGAGTACAATGGTGCGATCTCAGCTCACTGCAACCTCTGCCTCCAGGGTGCAAGTGATTCTCCTGCCTCAGCCTCCCAAGTAGCTGGGATTACAGGCACCCACCACCATGCTCCACTAATTTTTGTATTTTTAGTTGAGACGTGGTTTCACCGTATTTGCTAGGCTGATCTTAAACTCCTGACCTCAGGTGATCCCCCTGCCTCGGCCTCCCAAAGTGCTGGGATTGCATGCATGAGCCACTGCACCCAGCCAAGACCCTATTTTCAAATAAGTTCACATTCTGAGGCACTGAGGGTTAGGACATCAGTGTATCCTTTTGAGGGCCACACCATTAAACCTATAACAAGTGGTGGGATAGAAGGCCTTGTAATTCTTTATCATATATTATTTTCTTTTGTTGGGTTTGATTTTTTTTCCACACAGAAATATTAAACTATCAAAATCTCAAAGAGGACAATTTTTAGCATTCTTATGGTAGGTAGGTGATGATATAATAGTGATATTATGGCTTAAAAACCTTTGGTCACATATACTTGAGGATGCACATGACAGAGAACCCATAGAAACCAAGATATTGTTATAGTTTGATTTCGATTTAAGGAAACTTGATAGAAGAAAATTCACATTGCTTCAAAAGTTATATCAGAAATAAATTTTTGTCTTTGGAAGCATTCACTGCTTTACCAAATCTGTGCCCTTGCTTCCAATACATCAAACCCAGCCTTGAAATAATGAAAATACAAATATAAATATTATACAAAAACTAGATTCTCACAAAACATTTAGGAAACCTATTATATAAACTGATATTTGCTTTTTTTCTTATAAAAGCTGAAGTTTTTTGTGCATATTTTGGGAGTATCTGGGTTTGTTTTTGTTTATTTTTAAATATCAAAGCTTGTGTCATAGGTATAATGTGGAAGCATAGAATGCTTTAGTCCTCGCATTTAGTCCTGCCATTTAGACCTTATTATATCCACAGATCCTGCATCATTATGTAACTATGATATTTTTTTCTCTAAGAGATATTCACAGAGTCTGAAACTTTTACCCTGTTCCTTTCTCCAAGAAATAAAGTGATTCACAATACATATTGCAGATTGACATAATCATCAGATATAAATTATGGTTTTATAAAACCCAATACTACTTGTCATAGGTACATTTTTATCCTGAACAAAAAAATAGAATCTGAGTGATTTGACTCAGAAAAATTGAGTTTTGTAGAAATGCTAATAAAAATTAAGCTAAAAACCTCACTATATTGGAAATAATTAGAAACTTTGACATAAATAAGCCTGATTAGTGAATCAGTTGCTTCTTATAAACTTGCATAAAAAATAATTGATAATGCTAATTTTAAAGAATCAGAGAAATTTAAAAATTGGAAAAAAATAACTTTGCTACGTAGAAAATTATGCAATTAAATTAGTTTAATAGAAGTCATTCAAAAAATCTCAGTAAATTCTGAAGTTATGCTTGCGTACATTAGAAAGTGACGTAAAATAAAGTTTACTATAAAATGTTAGACAATTTAAGAATTAAAAAATAGTTCCAAATGTCATTAAAAATGAAGATTTTTGTAACAAGTGCTATTAAAATCCCATTATTGGCCAGGCATGCTGGCTCACGCCTGTAATCCCAGCACTTTGTGAGGCTGGGGCGGATGGATCACCTAAAGTCAGGAGTTCGAGAACAGGCTGACCAACATGGTGAAACCCCGTCTCTACTAAAAATGCAAAAATTAGCTAGGCGTGGTGGTGCATGCCTGTAATTCCAACTACTCAGGAGGCTGAGGCAGGAGAATTGCCTGAACCCGGGAGGTGGAGGTTGCAGTGAGCCGAGATCGCGCCATTGTGCTCCATTCTGGGCAACAAGAGTGAAACTTTGTCTTAAAAAAAAAATTCATTATTAATTTATTCATTTTATAGCTATTCCATAGGTGACTACACTGAGTTAGGCAGTAGCAACTCATTGACTTGGCCTACATCTGTTAGCAAAACACCCATGGTTCCTACAACATGTCCTATAATCGCTCATAGATAAATTAGTACAAAAATAATGTTTTCAAATTATGAAACGTACCATAGAAAAAAATGCAAAGTGCAATGTAAATATAGATAGTGAGGCTTAACCTGGTGTGAATAGAGGATGATTTGAGACGGGAAGAGTGATCCTCTTATCTCTATTAGTTAAAGGAGAAAACTGGGCTCCTCAGAGATTTCCTGACAAATCAGCAATGAAATTGAAAATAGAAAAATTATAAAGTCAAAATACCTTTGAACTCAGTATAAGCAATGGGTCAAAATAAAATGGATAAAATGACAAGATTAAAACAGTGCGTTATTCCTGCTTAGAGGCCAAAGAGTATGTCACGAAATACTGACTTTTGGCTTTTTGCATAACTACAGTTCTTCAACATTTGTTTTGTGAAACCATTTCTCTCATTTATTTCCACAAATTATGTGCACAGCATCTTTTAAATTTAAGTACATTTAATTTTTAAAAAAATTATCATGTGTGTTTCTCTGTCTCTGTCTCTCTCGTGTGTGTGTGTGTATGTGTGTTTGTAATTGAGGATGTCTTAAAGTGTCACAAGATTAGAGTTGGAAATTGAATCCAAGTATTTTCTAAACAAATACAGATGCTTCTTGACTTACCATGGAGTTACAGCCCAGTGAAAAATGCATTTAATACACCTAACTTACTGAACATCATAGCTTGGCCTAGACTAAACATGATCAGAGCACGCACATTAGGCTACAGTTGAGCAAATTCATCTAATACAAAGCCTATTTTATAATAATAAAGTGTTGACTGTCTCATGTAATTTATTGAATACTGTACTGAAAGTGAGAAACAGAATGGTTATGTGGGTACTCGACGTACGGTTTCTAGTGAATATGTATCACTTTCTTACCATCATAAGGTCGCAGAATCCTAAGCTGAACAACTGTAATTAGGGGATTGTCTGTACTATGTGCTGAACACATCCCCCAGCCCACCTCAGATTTTGGGTGGCTTTATTGGACAGTTCTCACACACTCTGACTCTCTACTTTGTGGCTCATCTCCATCTCTCCAAAATGCAGGTGTTTCTTCTGCCTTTCAATTTCACCATCTGTATAGGAATTAAATTGTTGTCCTTTCTCAAATCTCAAAAACTACTTTGTACTGGAATCCAAACATAGTGAAAGATTTAGGTGAAACTTAATATGTCTTCATGGAACAAAGTACACAAATAACTCATCCATTGACCGATGAATTCATTTACCAATGCAGTATCATCCCACGGCATATATAAATGAACAGAGGAAATTTAGCTTATATTATTTTTTTCATGTCCAACAAGAAAGAGGATACTGAGATAGATGGTAGATACACATATAGATAGACAGCTTATACCAAATTATTAGGCTGGTGCAAAAGTAGTTGAATTTTTTGTCATTACTTTCAATGGTAAAAACTGCAATTACTTTTGCACCAACCTAATATTTAGACACATTATAACAACAGAGAAATAAAAATGCTAACTTTTCAGCAATTGCTGCCAATAACTCAAGTGCCTATGTAGAAAATGCTTCTCAAATTATTTTTTAGCAAGATCTTCTAATCTGCTGATATTAAAGGTTAAAATTTGAATTTAATAAAAATTTAAACAGTTTTTGAATGGCTTTGTAAACTATTGCTCAAAAGAGAATTGATACAGACTGCTGTAATTTTGCAGCATTTGAGACACGGCATTGACTTTAGTAGAGTAGCTGATATTTCTGTACCCATTTCTGATATTTCTTTACCCATTTGTACAGAAATATCAATCAGCGTATAGCCTCCATGGTCTTTATATTGCAGGGAGAATGTTCTCCTTCTTTAAATTTGCCTCCTAAAGCTTTCTTATTTTCTTTGTTAAGGTGAAGTGGGCAGTGTTAACTTGCTGAACCAGAGAATTTTAAGGGTCCATGGAATATGATGGGTGGTTCAGAAAATGTGTCCTGAATCAGAGATACACATATAAAGTTATCATTCCTTTTTCATGTGGTGCTGAAACTGAATGGCTTTTCTGAAATATTTATGAGTACTCTAATACTTGAAAAAGCAGACTTAAAAAGCAATTTCTGGTTAAGAAAGGTAGAAGCTTTTTCTAATTATACAAAATAATTTTTAAACAAATTCTGCTTTTTGACTATTGAGGAAAATATTGATTTGGGATTTTGAGGGTCTGCATTTTCGAGATCATAACAACTATATTAACCAATGCTTTTACTGCTATTGGAGTTTCCTAAGTGATTATATATAACTAGAATTTCCCCCATATTCTCCTTATTCCTTTCTTTCAAGTGAACAGTTTATTGGATGATTATTCCTAATAATTAAGCATTCTCTTTCCTTCTCCTGGTAAATATTCTACAGAATCATAGGAAATATCTACTTTTAGCATACAATTTCTACCAGCCCGCCTCAAATAACAAATATCAAATATATATTTAAATAGTTGAGTTATGTGAGCAGAGAAGCCTGATCACCTAAATATTTGTGTACAAGACAACTGTTCTTTTAGCTTACACTGGGAACTTCTGGACATTTTCACTGAAGTTAGTTTGTCTTAGAATGACAGTTTCTCTAGGAGAAGCTTCTGGTCAAAATATATTTGAACTAATGGGAAGCTAACATTTATGGAGTGCCTGTGATATGCCAGGGCTACCATTTATTGAGTGCTTGCTCTGTATCTGACATTGAAATAGGTACCTTGCATAAATTACATCATTCGGTCCTTTCCAGAGATTGCGCTGGAATAATTTCTAAACCCTGGTTATGGATAGGATATTGAGGTGTTAGGGTTAATTAGTGTTCCCGAGTTTGCATAGATAATATGTAGAAGAGTCTACATTAACCTGTCTCCAAAGTCTACCCATGATCTAGCTCCGTGTTTTTCAGTATTGGCATGATTTACGTTTTGGGCTGGATGATTTTTTGTTTGGGAATGCTGTTCTGTGTTTTTAAAATGTTTGAGATCATGCTTGGCCTGTACTCACTAGATGCTGTAGAGTTCCTCCTCCCCTCCATCTTTGTGACAATCAAGTGTGTCATAAGACATTTTCAAATGTCTCCTGGGGAGCAATATCTCCAGTGATTGAGAACTACTGTCTACACCTGGATATTGGTTGCAAATGCCGTTGCTGCATTTCTAATATCTTGTCTATGATACAGAGGAAAAAAGTCTGTAGCCTCAGCTTCCATATAACAATAAATCTAATTATGAACCAATCAGGAAAAAAATTTAAAAATAAACTAATTGCTATGATCTGAATATTGTTCCAAAATTCATATACTGGAACCTAATACCTAATGTGATAGTATTAAGAGATGGGGACTTTCGGAAAGTTATTAAGTCATGAGGGCTCTGCACTTATAAAATAGGATTCGTGCTCTTATAAAAGAAGGGAGCTGTCTTGCCCTTCTGCCATGTGAGGACACAGTGTCCTCCCTTCTGGGAATGCAGCAACAAGGCACCATCTTTGAAGGAGAGACTGGACTCTTACCAGACCCCAAACTTTGCTGGTGCCTTGATCTTGGATTTCCTAGTTTCCAAAACTGAGAACAATAAATTTCTCTTGTTTATAAATTATCCAACTGAAGGTGTTTTGCTGTAGCAGCCCAAATGGACTAAAATACTAAAAAACTCATAAACACATAAATTTATGGGATTGTTATGAAAAATTAAAGTTAACAAATCTGATCACTAATGTGAGGGAGCCGGGACTTTGGGCCTTGAAATCTGATTAGCAACTTTTAAATAAATGCCTTGGCACCTTCACAGAAACTCCTTAATGTTGAGAGTTCTGCTGTTACTCCATTTGTATGTTATCACTTAGGGGAAAGCCAAACTTTTGAACTACTGAGAAAGTGTGAAATTTTCCTTTAGGCCTCAGAGAATTAACCTTCCATTAGTCATCCAGATCTTAGATGGGGCCGTTGGGGTGGGAGTGGTGAAGTAGAGAGAAGGAGAGAGAGAGAGCGGGTTCATTCATTCCATACCTCTCATGGTGTC